>NC_000017.11:6400201-6551717 GCF_000001405.40 Homo sapiens
CAGCAGTGAGAGAGGGTAAGAGACAGATTGTGGCTGTGTTTTGCAGGTAGAGGTAACGAGAATTTGCCAAAATTGGATGTGGAGTGTAAGAGCAAGCAGAGAATCAGAGGAACTTCAAAGCACCTCGTCTGAACAGTTGCAGGCTGGAGTGACTGGTAGCTGGGCTAGAGAAAGATACAGGTGAATATTGTGGGGTGGTGGGGAGCATAGAGGATGTGCCTTAGGCATATTAAGAAAGCTTATCAGACACATGTGATGGTTGATATTAAGTGTCAACTTGACTGGATTGAAGGATGCCTAGATGGCTGGTAAAGTATTGTTTCTGGGTGTGTCTTTAAGGGTGTTACCAGAGAAGACTGACATTTGAGTCAGTGACCTGGGAGAGGAAGACCCACCCTCAATGTGGGTGGGCACCATCCAATCAGCTGCCAGTGCAGCTAGCACAAGGCAGGTGGAATAAGATGGGATAAACTTGCTTGCTGAGTCTTCTAGCTTTCATCTTTCTCCTGTGCTTGATGCTTTCTTCTGCTCCTCCTGCCCTTGGACATCAGACCCTAGTTTCTTCAGCCTTTGGACTCTGGGACTGCACCAGTGGCTTGCCAGGAGCTCTTGGTCCTTTGGCCTCAGACTGAAGGCTGCACCGCCAACTTCCCTGGTTTTGAGGCTTTTGGACTTGGACTGAGTCACTACCACCTTCTCTCTTCCCCAACTTGCAGATGGCCTATTGTGCGACTTTGCCTTGTAATCGTGTAAGCCAATTCTTAATGAACTGCCTTTCATATATTGATAGATCCTATTTGGTTCCGTCCCTCTGGAGAACCCTAACTAATACAACACCCAAGTGAAGAATTTGAGGTCATTGTGTACAGAGGTCTGGAGCACAAGGTAGGGGTGTGGGCAGATCATGAAAGTGGTCAGTAAGTTCTTGGTATTCAAAGCCATGGAGACAGGATGAGATTGAACAAAATAGGAGGAAAACAAAAACCCAAACAATTATGTGAAAAGAAGCCTCATCATATCGTATCGCTGGCTTGACAGTGAACAACAGTTATAGAGTCATAATAATTAGAAACACAAGATAGTGACTTAACCAAAATTGTGATGTCACTGTGCTGGGAAGATGGAAAAGTGAAGATGGAAAATAAAGAAAGAGCTGGGAGGTAAGATCTAAGATTGCCAATGCCTGGTCTTTATACTAGAAAAGAAACAGATCGTGTTGGAAATCTGTAACTCAAGACTGAGTAGTTAAAGATACGCCTGGTTCAGAGCAGGCTGAAAATTGCCCTAAAAGAAAGCACTGCAATTCCCTTTCCCTGTGCACTGAGCACCCTCAACAGCCCTGTCCAGACTTGTGGGTGGCCAGATCCCTGGAAGGAAAGGCGGGAGAGCTCTAGCTGGATAAATGGCACATTTCTGGCAATGTGATTGTGTGTATGCAGTAATTACTCAGCGATTGCAACTTCCAGCATTACTATTTAGGTAAATCTGTGTCAAGATGCTGTCTTTGTTCAGTGGCCTAATACCACTGTTGGACACATAGTTGAATAATTAAGTTGGAATTCATGTTTGGATATATATTAAAGGGTGTTATTCGTCCATTTTTGCATTGCTATAAAGACATATCTGAGACTGGGTAATTTATAAAGAAAAGAGGTTTAATTTGGCTCATGGTTCTGCAGACTGTATGGGAACCATGGCTGGGGAGGCCTCAGGAAACTTACAGTCATGGGAGAAGGCAAAGGGGAAGCAGGCAAGTCTTAAATGGCTGGAGCAGGAGGAGGAGGGAGTGGGGAAGGTGCTACACACTTCTAAACATCCAGATCTTGTGAGAACTCTATTATGAGAACACCAGCAAAGGGATAGTGCTAAACTCTTCATGGGGGATCCAGCCCCATGATCCAGTCACCTCCCACCAGGCCCCACCTCTAACAATGGAAATTATCATTGAACATGAGATTTGGGTGGGGACACAGATCCAAGCCATATCAAAGGGCTACTTTTGTTTTAAACATACCCTTTCTTCCATTACATGCTGATTGCCAGGAAGTTCATTCCCGAAAGAAGTACAACTTTTTTTCCTGTCATTCTGTGCTTTTCTGTGCTTTTTCAAGACTACGAACAGTTCTACAAGAGAAAAATAAACTTCAGAACTGCCTGAAACAAAATGTTATTATGAATTGGCCACTCAAGAAGAAGTGATGATGTGAGGTTTCAGGTTTTATTAACTTAAACCATTTGGTAGACGGATTTTCTTTTTTTTAATGAAACGCAGACCTGTGACTCATTGAGCTTCGCAGGGATAATGATCAAGAGATAACTGAATTTCTTCTTCCACTCTGTTTTCCAGCTTCACATATTTCTCTAAATAGATGTCCATGTTTTATTTCGTAATTTTGCTTTTCCTTTACTCAAAACCAGGATGGGCATTTCTTCCCCAAGTGAATTTTAACGCAGCTGCTGCAGGCTGCAGAATAAAACCCCGCTGGAGAAAGATGCTCCATTAAAGTAAGATTGAAGCCAAAATTGAAAATTGAGAGCTAATTTTTGTGTACCTTTTGAATGGATGCATTTTTTAAATTGGCAATTTGAAAAAGAATAAAATTGTTCAGAATATACAGTGCAATGGGAGAAAGCAGATTGGGCAGAATTCTTGTAATTCTAATTAGATGCATTCCCCTGTTTGAGATTTACTTACAGAGCAATCTTAGTTTTAATGGAAAGAAATGCTTATTGATGAATTTGATTGCTACTATGGATTCTTACTTGCCTTTCGTGGCTACAGGATGAAGCCTCACAAAATGGGAAGTTAGGGATCCAGGCGTAGAGTCCGTCTTCCTTGCTACCAACTGGAACTCTTGTGCCCAGAATGCAGTGGAATTTACTAAGAAATGCTAAATAGCTGTTTCTCTCTCTCTCTCTCTCTCTCTCTCTCTCTCTCTCTCTGTCTGTCTCTCTCCTTCTAGAGGGAGGATCTTTCTTTCTTTCTACAGACAGGATCTCGCTCTGTCACCCAGGCTGGAGTGCAGTGGCTATCATAGCTCATTGCAGTCTAAAACTCCCAGGCACAAGCAGCCCTCCAGCTTCAGCCTCTTGAGTAGCTAAGATGATAAGTGTGTGCTACGATGCCTGGCATTTTTTTAAATGTATTTGTAGAGACAGCATCTCGCTATGTTGCCCAGGATGGTCTTGAACTCCCAGCCTGAAGTAATGTTACTTTAATTTAGATGTCCTGGGTAGTCCAAAGATAACTGGGAATTAATTTTTCACCATATTGAGGGACTGCTTGGAATTGCACCTGGAAGGCAATGATGTCATCAGCAGATGGCCCGTGGCTTACCTATTGCAAGGGTACCTGGGTATTCTCATCCTGGAAGTATGGGGTCCTCTATTTGAGATTTAAGTGGCTTTGCTGATCTGATTATTGGCAATGTGAATAGGAATATATGGACTGACATGGAAAGTATCAGTCTTGAGTAGCTTGAAAGTCAAGAATCTCATATGTTAAGGAGTAAAACATTTTGTAGGAGACCACTGAAAAATGGAAGGGCAAGAACAAAGATACAGATACAAGGATGATGAGAGAGAAAGGCAGAGATGTCATGTTAACTGAAGCATCTGTTTACATGGCCTATGAAGGAAGAGAACCCAGATAAGAGATTCTGGGGGATGAAGCTCAGGCCAAATCCTTGGCCTTAGTTTGCCCCTGGGTGTTGCTGACCTCTAAAAACTGCAGCTGAAATGGAAACAAATCTGTCCGAGATGTTTCTGTCCATCTGAGGTCTGTTCTTTTCGCCTGAGACCATCACCTTGATATATACCACCGTACTGTATTCGTTTTCTATGGCTATCCTAACAAATGTCCACAAACTTACTGGCTTAAAACAACGCAAATGTATTATCTTACAGTTCTGGAACTCAGAATCCCTAAAGGGGTCTCACTGGGCTAAGATCAAGATGTTGGCAGGGCTGCATTCCTTTCTGGAAGCTCTAGGGCTGAATTCTTGTCCTTGTTTTTTCCAGCCTGACCACATTTGTTAGCCAAGTCCTTCCCATGGTGCCATCTCTCTGGTTCTCCCTTAACCTATTCCCCTTTTAAGGACCGTCATGATTATGTTGGATCCACCCAACATATATTCCTACCTTAAGGTCAGCTGATTAGAAAACTTAATTCCAACTGCTACCTTAATTCTCCTTTGCCATGTAACCTGCCCTACTTGCAGGTTCTGGGGATTAGGACACGGGCATCTTTGGGAGGCCATGATTCTTGCCTACTATGGAGAATTCCAATTCCTGGACCACACCTCCCTCAAAGAAGTAGCTGAACCAGATATGGAGATGGGAAAGAGGATTTCTGGTGGCAAGTTCTATTGATGCTACTGACTGACACAGATGACTCTACCCATCTAGCGTCTCATCTGAAAGCCTAACAAAGGGATTCACCATGAAAAAAGAAAAACAAGATGGGAAATAGCACATAAAAAGTGAACACATAAAGAGAGTAAATGCATAAGAGAAGAATTTTTTTTTAATTTATTACACTTTAAGTTCTGGGATACATGTGCAGAACGTGCAGGTTTATTACATAGGTATAAACATGCCATGGTGGTTTGCTGCACCCATCAACCCGTCATCTACATTAGGTATTTCTTCTAATGTTATCCCTCCCCTAGCCCCCAGACCCCCGGACAGCCCCAGTGTGTGATGTTCCCCACCCCACCTGTGTCCATGTGTTCTCATTGTTCAACTCCCACTTACGAGTGAGAACATGCGGTGTTTGGTTTTCTGTTCCTGTGTTAGTTTGCTGAGAATGATGGTTTCCAGCTTCATCCATGTCCCTGCAAAGGATATGAACTCATCCTTTTTTATGCATAGTATTCCATGGTGTATATGTGCCATATTTACTTTATCCAGTCTATCATTGATGGGCATTTGGGTTGGTTCTAAGTCTTTGCTATTGTGAACAGTGCCACAATAAACACCCCCAAAGCCTTCTTCATTCCTTTCAACACTGTGTCTCCCCATAATCAGATGTAGAACATCAGACACAAATCAACATTTTTACTTCGCCTCTGTGAACCTTAGTTTCCACATCGGTTTGATGGGGGAATAACACCTGGTATTACCAGGGTTACTTACTGGTGATCCCCTAGTAAGAAGGCAAACCCAATTGGTTGAAGAGTTCAGCAGTTTTTGCACTATATGCTACATTTATTATAGGCATTGACTTCACCGTCCTGATAAGAGCCTTGGTTTCCTCATCTGGAAACTGGGGATAATAATAATTCTCTACCTCATAGGGTAGGGAGGGCAGGTGGCACTTGCTTCTGATAGGTCCCTTCTTTCAAACAAGTCACCCTCTGATGATCAGTCATTGCCTAGTTGTCAATTCTCAGTCTCTCACACACACACGCACTTCCCGGCCTCCTTCCCTCTGCCCACAAGCAGGCATGGACTTCCCCTTCCGTGGTGGAGCATCCACGAGCCGGTTCTCTGCTCCCCTTCATTGGTGAGCTCCTCTAACCCACGGCCTCCACTATTCACCACTCCTCCCTCACTTACCAGTGTTTGCATTCTGTCTTTGGTCTGAAGCTAAGCTCCAGATCCTTCCCATGGCAACATAGCCTTGTAGCTCTCATTCTTCCTCACTTTTCCACGTGTTTGACTTGGCACAAGGCCACCTTCTCCTCCAGGTAAGACCACGCTGGGTCTTCAGCCTGACTAAGCTCCCCACTGGATTCTGAACTCCAGTGAGATCAAGAGGCAGTCTATCTCTCCCCTACCTCCGTAAACCCAGGGCCTCGGAACCTGGAATGCAGCAGGCTTTTAGCACCGCTCAACATGAATGAAGGGACAAATGAATTTATTCAACAGTTCATCACTCCCAGCTGGGGGTGGTGGCTCATGCCTGTAATCCCAGCACTTTGGGAGGCTGAGACGGGTGGATCACCAGGAGTTCAAGAGCAGCCTGGTCAACATAGTGAAACTCCGTCTCTACTAAAATTACAAAAATTAGCCGGGCATGATGGTGGGTGCCTGTAATCCCAGCTACTGGGGAGGCTGAGGCAGAATTGCTGGAACCCGGGAGGCGGAGGTTGCAGTGAGCGGAGATCATGCCACTGCACTCCAGCCTGGGTGACAGAGCAAGACTCCGTCTCAAAAATAAATAAATAAATAAATAAATAAATAAATAAATAAATAAATAAATAAAATCATCACTCCCTGTAGCTGGGCTGATAAAACATAAAATTCCACTCCGGTTCCCTTGGGTGAGTGAGATGTTGAGAGACCACCACATACTGGTGAGGAGAACCAACCAATCACGGAGCAGACAGCTCTGTGAGATCCCATCGGGAAGCTCCGGGCCCTACCTGTCCTGTGTCCATCCCGTGAATGACCCACACATGTGCGGAGTGATCACTCATAAAGAAGGGGACAAGGGTAATTGGACCTGCGTCTGCTCTACCACGGACCTGCTGTGTGACCTTGGGAAAGGCCCATTTCCCACAGAGCCTGAGTCTTTTCTCCCTAAGGACCCGAGGCGGGCAGCCTGCCCACTTGGTTCTATGGGTGTTTTCCTTACTAAAAGGATCGGGGCTTGAACTCACCAGGGGAATCCTCAGCCAGATCACAGCCCCTGGGAAGTGGTGGGAAAGCAGGTGTCTGGAGGAAAGGATCAAGGCGGGCACCGTGAGACCCCACACCCAAGGAAAACCGGAGTTCAGGCTTTATCCAACGTGTTCCCTCCTAACAGTAGGGAGGGAAAAGGCCTCCTGGCCTCAGGTCAGAGAGGGAGTCAGGTCATTCCTACTGTTCCAAAGAACAGAGAAGTGGGCTCTGGTCTTACAGACTGGAGTAAGATGGGGAGGCTCTGGCTGCTGACTTCATCCCTCCACCAACAAGAGCTGCATCTGGTTTTATCCTGAATTACCCAAGAACAAGCACATCTTTCTACAAAGAGGACTCAAAGTGCTAAATGCAAATGTGATCCCAGCTTTGGCGTATTGGACTCCAGTGGAGCCTCTTGCATTCTGTGTGTACCCACTGTACATGTGGGTGTGTTGCCAGCCCAAATAATCCCGTTCTGCTATTGGAATCTATGCCCTTATAGGAGGAATGTCTCCCAGTCTATCCTACCACATCTCAAATAAAAGAGCAGGACTCCATGAGCTTGAATGCCAGTATTCATCACGGCACACTAACTACTGTAACCAACCACAAGAAAGATCTCAAAAGATCGTATTGGCTGGAAACAGTACAGGCTTTTCTCTGATTCATGTAACAGTTTTAAGAGTAGACCCTCAGTAATCTCAGCACTTTGGGAGGCCAAGGCTGGCAGATCACCAGAGGTCAGGAGTTTGAGACCAGCCTGGCCAGCATGGTGAAACCCTGTCTCTACTAAAAATACAAAAAAAGAAATTAGCCAGGCATGGTGGTTCACGCCTGTAATCCCAGCACACTGGGAGGCTGAGGTGGGCAGATCACCTGAGGTCAGGAGTTCGAGACCAGCCTGGCCAACATGGTGAAACCCCATCTCTACTAAAAATACAACAACAAATAGCCGGGCTTGGTGGCATTCACCCGTAATCCCAGCTGCTTGGGAGGTTGAGGCAGGAGAATCACAGGAACCCAAGAGGTGGAGATTGCAGTGAGCCAAGATCGTGCCACTGCACTCCAGCCTGGGCAACAGAGCAAGACCCTATTTAAAAAAAAAAAAAGAGTAGACCCCCGGGTGTCCAGGCTCCCTCCATGCTAGGGTTCCACTGTCTCACACAAAGGGCCTCACTGATACTTTGGCAACGTCAGTTACCAGGTAGGAAGGAATCATGAGAAGGGCTGCTAGGGCCAAGCCTTAAGCGGCATGCATCACTTCCACACTCATTCTCCCTGCTGGTGCTCAGGCTCAGGGGCCCACCTAACTTCAAGGGAGCTGGGAAACACAGGCCAGCCCTGTCCAGGTATCAAAGAAAATGGCTTTGCTGACCACTTATCTAGTCCATCGCAAGTTTCCTTCCACCATAGTTCCAGGTTCTCAAGACGCTTTTAACTCTCCCTGGGAATAACCAAGTTTATTTACTCATCCTCCATAATGGGGTCTCCTCACTAAGGGAGGAAAGCAATTAAGTAGCACACCCCAAGAGGTCCCCACCTCTAAATCCCTAGCTAATCCTCCATTCCCACGCCAGCAGCTTTCCTGGGAAGCTGCTTCTACCTACTGTCAAAAATTGGTTCCCATTGAGGGCAGCTGTTCTTAAATTAACCAAAACAAGGCTTAGAGGGGAAGAAACATTTGGAGAGACAGCTGATGGCTTCAATGAATCAGAGGAAGCCTCTTTGCTGCTGTCATCCCGCTGCCAAGCCTCTGCTCCCGATGGGCCAAAGGACATCTTTCATGTTCTTTCCTCAGATCTGAACTCGGGGCCGTTTGCAAGTCCCGGAGATGGGGGCTTCTGATGCTGGCCCCAGGAACTGACTGGGCAGCCCTGAGGGGCCGGGAAAAGATGCAATATCCCAGAAAAAGAAAAGGCATTTCTAAGAGACAAATGCAAAATTGTCAGCAGGATGAGTACAAAGTTTTGAGATCAGTGTCACTTGTCTTGCTTAGAATTCCCCAAACGGGTCCTGAAAAGGAGCTGTGAAAGAACTGAAGACTCAGTGTTGGCCGTTTGCAATATTTATTACAAAAAAAAGGACGTCCGCAGAAGGTCGCGGTGTTCACATTGACACAGAGTATGCAGCAGGCTCCCCAAGGCGACGCATCCCTCACACACTGGCAGGAGCTGCCACGGCTACAAGAAGGTTGTGAAAATTCACTCTCATCTACAGCCAGGAAGTGGGGATTCTGCCAGTGTACAGAGGGCACCTGAACACGGGGCTCTCAGAAGGTAAATGGAAGGTCAGGACTGCTGGAGTGCTGCCAAGGGGTGTACAGAGGTGACCCCAGGGTGGCAGCATGCATAATGATTATAACAACAGGGGCCGGGCGCGGCGGCTCACGCCTGTAATCCCAGCACTTTGGGAGGCCGAGGCAGGGGGATCACGAGGTCAGGAGATCGAGACCATCCTGGCAAACATGGTGAAACCCCGTCTCTACTAAAATACAAAAAATTACCCAGGCGTGGTGGCACATGCTTGTAGTCCCAGCTACTCGGGAGGCTGAGGCAGGGGAATCACTTGAACCCGGGAGGCGGAGGTTGCAGTGAGCCAAGATCGCACCATTGCACTCCAGCCTGGCGACAGAGCAAGACTCCGTCTCAAAAAAAAAAAAAAAAAGAAGCCACTGGAGTATATTGTCGTGGTCAGCCCTTCAAGGGACTTTATGTGCATTGACTCATTTAATCCTCTGACAACCCATTGAGGTAGCAACAGTTATGACCTCTATTATCCAAATGAGGAAACAATTGCTCAGAGAGGTTAAGTAACTTGCACAAAAGCACACAGCTGGTGAGTAGTCAAACTGGGTTAGGAATCCAAGCCCACCTGACTCCAAAGCCCTTTCTGTTAGCCTTCATTCTATTTTGATCTCTGATGTGGCCTTAGAGATAACAGGACGGGTACCTCCGAGATAATCTCTGAGGGACCCCTGAGTAGCCATTATCACCAATGAGTAACAGCCACCACCGTCAGCTTTAATTTGACAACCAAACCAATGATAGCAATGGCCTCAGTGTCCCATGCAAGAGGATCACTGGGGGGCTGGGCACGATGGATCACACCTGTAATCCCAGCACTTTGGGAGGCCAAGGCAGGTGGATCACCTGAGGTCAGGAGTTTGAGGTCAGCCTGGCCAACATGGCAAAACCCCACCTCTACTAAAAATACAAAAATTAGCCGGGCACGGTGGCACATGCTTGTAATCCCAGCTACTCGGGAGGCTGAAGCAGGAGAATTGCTTGAACCCAGGAGGCAGAGGTTGCAGTGAGCCGAGGTCATGCCACTGCACTCTAGCCTGGGTGACAGAGCAAGATTCCGTCACAGAAAAAAAAAGGGGGGGACCACTGAGGAATAGTCACCTGTAAGTTTTGAACGTCACTCCTCTGTCACCATGCAGAGGGGGTATGCTTAAGGGATGGCATCACTCCAGGTAAGGCTATGAGGAGCAGTGACAGCAGGGACAAAGACCCAACTCTGGGGTCAGGGGGCGAGCTATGGTTCAAAGCCAGCTCTGGACAAGTTACTTAACCTCTCCAGCGCTTAAATTCTTCAACCATAGAACTGGGGGGTGGGGGAGAATCCACCTCAAAGATTACTGACTGGATAGATTAAGTTACCTGGGCAGGTGTATCCACTGAGTTCTGGCAGGAATTCAAAGAGCAAGAATCCAATGGTATCCTCAATTTGGGCAATTTGAGGAAAATTGTTAAAGGGAACTCTTCAAAGGACAGAGCAGGCAGGATATAGGGAAACAGTAAGGAATGGTGCCTGTGGCGCCCCAGGCCTGGGAACAGCCAGGAGCCGTGACCACCCCTAGGAATGAGGGGAACCCCAGAATAAAGTGTGGTCAGCAGAATGATCCCCCCACCAAAGATATCTACCTCGTAATCCTCAGCACCTGCGAATGAGTCACCTTCCATTGCAAAGGGACTCTGCAGGCGTGACCAAGTGAAAAGTCTTTTTTTTTTTTTTTTGAGATGGGGTCTCGCTCTGACACCCAGGCTGGAGTGCAGTAGTGCCATCTCGGCTCACTGCAAGCTCCACCTCCTGGGTTCACACCATTCTCCTGCCTCAGCCTCCCAAGTAGCTGGGACTACAGGCGCCCGCCACCACGCCCAGCTAATTTTATGTATTTTTAGTAGACACGGGGTTTCACTGCACTAGCCAGGATGGTCTTGATCTCCTGACCTCGTGATCCGCCCACCTCCGCCTCCCAAAGTACTGGGATTATAGGCGTGAGCCATCGCGCCCAGCCAAAAGTCTTAAAATGGGGAGATCATCCTGGATTATCTGGGTGGGCCCAGTGTAACCACAAGGCTCCTTATAAGACGGAGGCAGAAGGCCGAGCGTGGTAGCTCATGCCTGTAATCCCAACACTTTGGGAGGCAGGGGCGGGCCGATCACCTGAGGTCAGGAGTTCGAGACCAGCCTGGCCAACATGGTGAAACCCCATCTCTACTAAAAATACAAAAATTAGCTGGGCATGGTGGTGGGTGCCTGTAATCCCAGCTACTTGGGAGGCTGAGGCAGGATAATCGCTTGAACCCAGGAGGCAGAGATGGCAGTGAGCTGAGATTGCACCACTGCACCCCAGCCTGGATGACAAGAGCAAAACTCCATCTCAAAAAAAGAAAAAAAGGAGGCAGAAGAGTCAGAGAAGGACATGTGACAACAGAAACAGGCTGGAGTGATGTGGCCATGAGCCAAGACATGCAGGAGCCTCTAGAAGCTGGGAAAGGCAAGGAACGAATTCCCCGCTAGAGCCTCCAGAAGGAATGCAATCCTACCAACAGGACTAAAGTCAACCAATCATTGATTCCAGTCCCATGTGACCCATTTCAGATTTCTGAACTCCAGAACTGTAAGATAATAAATGTGGGTTTGTAGATTTGTTATAGTAGCAATAAGAAACCAGCGCAGGCCGGGCGCAATGGCTCACGACTGTAATCCTAGCACTTTGGGAACCCAAGGCGGGCAGATCACCTGAGGCCTCAGGAGTTCAAGACCAGCCTGAGTAATATGATAAAACCCCATCTCTACTAAAAACACAAAATTAGCCGGGTGTAGTGGTGCATGCCTGTAATCCCAGCTACTCGGGAAGTTGAGGCAGGAGAATCCCTTGAACTGAGGAGGCAGAGGTTGCAGTGAGCCGAGATCATGCCATTGCACTCCAGACTCGGCAACAAGAGTGAAACTCCATAGAGAGAAAGACAAGAAAGAAAGAAAGAAAGAAAGAAAGAAAGAAAGAAAGAAAGAAAGAAAGAAAGAAAGAAAGAAAGAAAGAAAGAAGAAGGAAGGAAGGAAGGAAGGAAAGAAAGAGAGAGGAAGGAAGGGAAGGGAGAGAGAAAGAAGGAAGGAGAGAGAAGAAAGAGAGAGAGAAGAAAGAGAGAGAAGAAAGAGAGAGAGAAGAAAGAAAAGAGAAAGAAAGAAAGAGAAAGAAAGAAAGAGAAAAGAAAAGAATGAACTAGTGCAGGGAGAGCGGGTGCAGAGGGCTGCCTGACAGATCAGCGTATTAAACAGTCAGGACAGAAGACCCCCACCTACACAAGGAAGAAAGCTGGGGGAACAAAAGCCCTGACCCCACTCTCCTCCAGCCCCCAATCTCCTACAGGGGCTTCCAATGGGAAGAACCCACTGGAAGCCAGAGGGAGCCATCGGCGTATCACCCACAGGATCATCTTCCAGAGCAGGGTGCAGGAAGGAGGGTGGAGAGTGGATTGAAGAGACCAACGGGAGACAACCAGCACAGTACGGCAGCTTGACCAAACTCTTTGCTGGCTAACATATTAATTATCAAAGAGGAAGGGGCTACATGGGAGTCTTGAACCGGGTCCCAAGAAGGAGGAGCAGGACACCTGTACTCCAGCTGGAAATTAAGACTCACCCTACCCTCAGGACAGAATCCAAGAAGACAGACACAGATCTGGGGCACAGTGGACGGAAATCCCCCAGAACTTCCTGGGAAAGGGGTCCTTCAAGAGCCTAACAGCCATGCTGGAGGCCAGCCAGTAGGGTGACCAACCCAGAGACCACCACCCCTCATCCTATCTTAACCACCCAATCCCAGTCCTGGCCATCCCTCCTCAATGCCATGCCCTTCACGGATGAGATTCTGCTGGGTACAGAGAAAAGCCCAGGGTTCCAGGCATCAGTTGGGGTGGTCATTGCTCCTAGTTTGGGCTCTGGCCAGCTGATACTGTCCAGTGTCAGATCTGGACATCCTCAGGCCCTGCCATCAGAAACTAACATTTCACAGATCAGCTTAGCTCAAACACAGCCTCACCACTAGCCAATATGGGGACTGCAAATTAGAAAAAGCTACCCCCTTCCTCAAAACACTTTCCTGCCATCTATTGGGAACTTGTAGTAACTACACATATCTAAGATAGATGACAATGAAATTGAGGAGTAGGGGGTGGAGACAGTGCTGGAATTGTTCAATGCACAACCTGCACAACTGTAAGTGGCTGCCATTCCCAAACTTCCTCCACCACATTACAGGACTTCTGCTGCACCAGCATCTTACATGGGCCTCTTCTCTTCCAATGCTGCTCTCTTGCCGAAACTATTACAGCAGTCTCCAAATTGATCTCCCCCTTTCAATGCAACCTTACACCTGCCACAGAGACATCTTTCTAGAATATTCATCTGATCATTTCCCTTGCCAGTGGAAGCTTTTCAGAGGCCCCTCCCTGGCATTCAAGGTCCCCTGGATCTGGTCCTGTTCAATCTTGGCAGCCTTTTCTCCCATGACTCTTGTCCTATACAGGTACATACTGGCCTCCACCTGGGCTCTCTCTGAGCCCTACCCTGGCCGCAGACTCACCCCATATTCAGTGCCTGCTCTGGCCTTCAACCCATGTCCCAGGCAGGACAAATCCCAGGTCGGGTGCCAATAGCCCCCTCCCAAGTGAGGGCTGTGGCAAGCTGGGACAATATGAGATGCCACTGTGGTCTAACTTCAACTCCCAGCCTCCGTGTCCCAGCTGTGCCCTTACACTTCTTATCTCTTCTCCTGTCTGGGCCGCTCCCATTCATCAGGGACAATGAGCCCCATCTGCAGAGGCTGAGTATCCTTCTTGAGTCCCACCCACTGGCTCCTGGCCCCCCTCAGACTCCCACAGGTGGAAGAAGGAGTTTCCCAATAGTAAGAAGGGCCAGTCCCCAGGTGCGCTGTCTCCAGGCTGGGCAGGAGTGGCAGCAGGGACCAGGCTGCAGTGTTCTGAGGACCATCAGTAATTCCTCTTGCTCAGAGACAAGGGCAAGCTCAGTGCCTCTGTTCCAATTACCCAGAGAGAGGCTCACTGTGGCTACATAATTAATACTCTAATTGGGGGTCACTCTAACTCCAACAGTCCTTCAGGGAGTGTTGGGAGGTGGAGATATGACATAGGGGAAAGACAGGGAATGATGGGGTACATCCTGTCGCCCAGGCTGGACATCCCTGGGGTTGCAGACGCTGGCCCTGGGAGGGCCATTCCCCAGTGTGGGAGGGGCTGGCAGAACAGGGCCAACCCGTGGTGTTCAGGGCTCAGGAAAATGTTATGAAATACACATCTATATCAGAAATTTGAGTCACCCCAAATTCAGCATGTCCCACCACCATGCTGGCTGCTTAGTCTTGCACAATCCCGTGAAAGAAATACCACCCCAGCCAACAGGGGCAACCTGCTCTCTAGGCTTCCCTTCTGGAACCAGGGTCCCGCCACAGGGCTCTGGGATGGCCCCATGGGTATGCACCCTGGCTCTCCCCATCTAGTAGACCCCACAGTTGAAGGTGGGAAGGGGTTAGAGGGATAGAGGATAAGACAGTGCCCCTAAGAACAGGGACCAAACCAGGACTATTTTGGGTTGAATCGTGTCCTCCTCCCAAAAGATGTGTTGAAGTCCTAACCCCTAGAACCTCAGAGTGTGATCTTATTTAGAAACAGGGTCTTTGAAGAGATAATCCAGTTAAAATGAGATCATTTGGGGGCAGGTGCTAATGCAATATAAGTGTCCTTATAAAAAGAAGGAGTTTGGGCACAAAGACAGTCACGGAAGGAAGACAATGTAAGCAGACACAGGGCGAAGATGGCCATCTACAAGCCACGGCCTGAAGCTACCGGAAGACAGGAGAGAGGCCAGGGCAGACCCTTCCCTGGGGTCTTCAGAGCCCTGGCGACACCTTGATTTCAGACTTCCCATCTCCATTGCTGCGAGACAAGAAGCTTCTTAGTGTGTGGCTCTGTGACTGAAGCCCTAGGGCACTATGACAAGGGCCCACCCATGTCTCAGTCTGGTCTTGGGGCTCCCTGGCCAGAGGGCACTAGGACCCCTGTCCAGGCTCAGGCAACTAGAAAAGGCATTTAGAAAATGCCAAGAAAGGGCCGGGCGCGGTGGTGCACGCCCGTAATCCCAGCACTTTGGGAGGCCGAGGCGAGCGAATCAACTAAGGTCAGGAGTTCGAGACCAGCCTGACCAACATGGTGAAACCCCATCTCTACTAAAAATACAAACATTAGCTGGGCGTGGTGTCAGGTGCCTGTAATCCCAGCTACTCAGGAGGCTAAGGCAGGAGAGTCACTTGAACCTGGGATGCAGAGGTTGTGGTGAGCCGAGATCGCGCCACTGCACTCCAGCCTGGGCGACAAGAATGAAACTTCGTCTCAGAAAAAAAGAAAAGTAAAGAAAATGCCAAGGAAGACTTTCCAAAGTGCGGGGGGCCCCTGAGGCCCAGGCCCAGGGAAGGACGCCCCGGCCTTGGTCTAAGGATGGTAAAGGGTCTGGCAATATTTCAGCAAAGAAAGTGACATTGGCATGAATGGGGCCTCGTGCCCACCTCCAGGGATGGTTCTCACCCACTATCCCCTGGAACTTCCGATCCTTTGGGGGGCAAACCTGACAGTTAGCAAAAAGACCCACCTTTCCGCAGCCTCACCTGGGACCATGGTAAGCCACAGTCCCAGTCTACATGGGTCTGGGGGAGCTGTCCAGCCACATGATGCTCAGTGCAAAAGCCAGGAGCATCCTAAGCAAACGGGCTGGTTTGTCCCGCTGCATACGGCCCCACTCTGCTCCCTGCCTGCAGGGGATTCACAGGGAAAACAGTGCCAGCTCCTCACCCGGCAGTGCCTCCACCCCTTGCCAGTGACACAGAATCAGTTCTCCATCCCCTTCTTCGCCTGGCAGCCCCCCTAAGGGCCCTCCCTATTTGCCCGGGTCACTCAAAGGGGTTAGCAGCTGCCATGGCCCCCTCACCTTACCCTGGAGGAGGTGTGGGCCCCAAAGCCCCCAGGCTGTGCTTACTGTCCAGGTTCAGGTCACCCTCCTCATCCTCACCTTAACAGCCTCCTCTGTGGTCTCTGCTTTCCCCTCCTCTCCCCCTCGCCCACTCCCCACAATGGCAAGTCAACTTCTGTGAATACAGGTCTGACCAGGCCACTCTCCAGCTAAAAGCCTGCCCTGGTTTCCCATTGCTCTCAAGAAAGCAACCAGAATCCTCATGATGCCACCTCGGCCTTTGCAGCCACGAGCCTCCTTGCCACAAGCATCCTGCCCTTTGCTTCCGTCACTTCCAATCAATCCATTTCCCAGAGAGGCCATCCCAGTGCTCAGGCTGGGGCGGGCCCATTCCATGCTCCCCCAGTGCCCTGGGCCTTCCGCAGAGCCCTCATCACACCTGCGATGGTGGGAACAATGGTGGCTGTGGCTTTCTTCAACACACCAAGACGATGATTAATGACCCTCAGACAAAGACCATCAGGACCACACCTCTGGTTGAACCCACTGGGCTCATGGGCCCTTGCACACACATCATGGCAACTGCGGGTGTCCCAGTAAGAGAGTGCTAGAAAGAACCTATCATAGGATTGGGCCAATGTTATACGGCCTGGGAGAGAGGGTAAGGAAGCAGGGCTTTGCTCTGGGTGGAATGCTGTCAAGAAGGAGGGATAACTGATTGGAGATCTTCATCAATCTCATCTAGCTGGAGGAAGACCAGCCTACGGCTGAAGCTGCCATTAGCAAAGAAACCTATTAGTTTCCCCATCTGCGCTATAAGATGTTGAACTAAACGTTTTCTGAAGGCCCTTACCCTTGTAAGAATAGAGGCATGTTTTTCAGAAAGAAATGGACTCATTGAGCCAGTATTTCTGAGCCCCCGGAATGGGTCGGGCATAATTCTAGCCACTGAGGATACAGCAGTGAACAAAGCAGGCAAAATCCTCTGTCCTCCAGAGACTGTCACACTCAGTAAGAGCTGCCAGCCCCGAGACTGCTGAGAAAAGACAAATGCTCCACTACATCTTCAAATGATGGGTGGCAAGAGGAAAGGCGAGATTCTTTGTTCATCAGATTCTCGCACTGATGAGGATACCTGAAGTAATGGAGCAATTGTAATTAGGCCAGGAACTCTGTAGACTTGAAACCACCATAAATAAGAATGCTAGTTTACCTAACCTTTCCATTAAAACCTCAAGCGGGAGAGGAATGGAGAAAGAGGCTGAGCAAGGAGCAGCCGCCTATCCCGAGCGCTCAGAGGTGGTCAAGATGACGCCTCACTCATGGACCGTTCCATCAAGGTGAAATTCAAGACAGACGCTCCAGGTACAAAACTTGGCAAGCCCAGGGAGGAAGATTAAAAACCCGCATGCAGATGTCAGCTGTCAAAGCAACCACACCTGGACTGCCACAGCGTCCTCACAGGCAGCTGACATGGTGAGGAGCTGTTACTGGGGGGAAATCGGGACACGGGTAAGCCTCAGGCAGCCCCTCCATCCTAAGCTCCCTCCACCCTAAACTATTGTTGAGACCCTATAGAAACAATGGCCTTGCAGGAAACTGAAAGTAGTTTACTCACCGTGCAGCTCAAGCAGCACGAGAGTGGCCTGTGACGTGGAGGCAGATGGCGTCCGAGAGAGACTCTCAGAGCAACACTACAACAGACTTGTGTTCTGCATCACAAAGACATCTTGTCACCTGGTCCCCAGCTGCTCTTCCACACAAACACCACGCCCTGTGGTGGCTGTGGAACCTCCCCTCTCCACTGTTAAGACACACCATTGGCCGGGCACGGTGGCTCACGCCTGTAATCCCAGCACTTTGGGAGGCCATGGCAGGCAGATCATGAGGTCAAGAGACTGAGACCAGCCTGGCCAACATGGTGAAACCCCGTCTCTACTAAAAATACAAAAATTAGCTGGGCGTGGTGTCACACACCTGTAGTCCCAGCTACTCGGGAGGCTGAGGCAGGAGAATCATTTGAACCCGGGAGGTGGAGGTTGCAGTAAGCCGAGATCGCACCACCGCACTCCAGCCTGGGCAACAGAGTGAGATTTCATCTCAGAAAAAAAAAAAAAAAAAATTACCTGGTTAATCCACATTTTGCTCAGGTCTTCATTAGTAAATTTACCATGGTGAAAAATAAAGCCCTGGCCAGGCGTGGTAGCTCATGCCTGTAATCCCAGCACTTTGGGAAGCCGAGGTAGGTGGATCATCTAAGGTCAGGTGTTCAAGACCAGCCTGACCAGCATGGAGAAACCCCATCTCTACTAAAAATACAAAGTTAGCCGGGCGTGGTGGTGCATGCCTGTAATCCCAGCTACTCTGGAGGCTGAGGCAGGAGAATCGCTTGAACCCGGGAGGCGGAGGTTGCAGTGAGCCAAGACGGCACCATTGCACTCCAGCCTGGGCAACAAGAGCGAAACTCCATCTCAAAAAATAATAATAATAAAATAAAATTTAAAAAAAATAAAGCCCTGAGGAAAGGGTTTCCTTGAGTTCCCCCCAACCCCCTGTAAGAAAAACTAGATCTAACTAGAGCGCCATGCTCCGATCTAGTTAGTTCAAGTCATCTTCAATCTCATCACTTATTGGTGATCTACAGGTGGAAGGATCCCAAGCTTGCATCCAACTCATGTGCATCAACTCTGGGCTCAGCCACTTGCAGCTGTGAGCCAGGCAGCCCATATTCCTCCCTAAGCTGAGACTCCTTTGCCAAATGGAGCCAATGATGACCACTTGAGGTGGGGAGGTGGCACTCACAAAGAGGTGCTGCTGTTACTTCCCAGGGCTTGCACCAAGCCTCCTGCAGAGCCACACTGGTGAAAGTTGAACTGTTTGCTAAGTTAAATATGACTGATGACCCAGCAATCCCATTACTGGGTATATACCCAAAGGATTATCAATCACTCTACTATAAAGACACATGCACACTTAGGTTTATTGCAGCACTATTTACAATAGCAAAGACTTGGAGCCGGCCCAAATGCCCATCTAGACTAGATGAAGGAAATGTGGCACATACACACCATGGAATACTATGCAGCCATAAAAAATGAGTTCATATCCTTCGCAGGGACATGAATGAAGCTGGAAAACATCATTCTCAGCAAACTAACACAGGAACAGAAAACCAAACACTGAATGTTCTCACTTATAAGTGGGAGTTGAAAAATGAGAATACATGGGCTGGGCGTGGTGGCTCACACTTGTAATCCCAGCGCTTTGGGAGGCCAAGGCGGGTGGATCACAAGATCAAGAGATCAAGACCATCCTGGCCAACATGGTGAAACCCTGTCTCTACTAAAAATATAAAAATTAGCCGGGCATGGTGGCACGTGCCTATAATCTCAGCTACTCAGGAGGCTGAGGCAGGAGAATCACTTGAACCCGGGAGGCGGAGGTTGCAGTGAGCCGGGATTACGCCACTGCACTCCCGCCTGGCAACAGAGTGAGACTCCGTTTCCAAAAAAATAAAAAAGAAAGAGAGAAAGTAAAATGAGAATACATGGACACAGGGAGGGGAACATCACATATCAGGGCCTGTCAGGGGATGGGGGGAAAGGGGTGGGAGAGCATTAGGAGAAATACCTAATGCATGCGGGCCTTAAAACCTAAATGACAGGTTGATAGGAGCAGCAAACTACCACGGCACATGTAATGTATACCTGTGTAACAAACCTGCACATTCTGCACATGTATCCCAGAATTTAAAGTAAAATTTTTTAAAAAAGAAAAAAAAAATCTGACTGAGGTTGCCTGGCCATTTCTCACAGACAGGGAGGCGCCTTGGCCCCAGGACAAGCAACACCTGCACCTGTGCTGTATTCCTTTGCCACGTTTGCAACTCCAGATGCAGGCCAGGCCCTTAGATGTCACTTCTGGTTAGACCTTCTCCCAGCAGGTGGCCCTGCCATGGAGGGCATCAACTGAGGCTGTGGGAGGCAGCCGTGTCCCAGGGGCTGGAAAATGCCAGCTCTAATACCCATTTGTGGCATCTGGGCTTAAGTTCAAATTCTGCCCACACCCCTGAGGAGCTGGAGACACTGTGTGTGTTCTCAGCCTCCTCGGCTCTCCTCTGCTCCCTGCATCCTGGTGGAGATGTGATACCTGCTCAGGCAGGGTCTTGGCAGCCAACAGGTGGCTTATGCAAACAGAGTAGCCACAGAAGCAGAATGAAGATGCGGGAGGGATTGAGAAGCCAGTAAGGAATGGGGGGAGCTAGCAAGAACGAGCAGGGGTGGGAAGCCATTGCTGTGCTGAGGCTGCAGGACCTGGGGAGGCACTGCTTGGAGACCAGTGAGAGCCGTGGCCGGGGACACCTGCTGTGACCACAGGTAAAGAGCGCAACCCCTGCCAGACTGCAGCCCAGCGAGGAGGGAATCAGAAAAGCAAACAGCCCAGTGCCCTCCTCCCGCAAGCAGGTCTCCTGCTGCTGCCTCCTGCCGGCCAAACCCAACGGGAAGGCAGAGGGCACGGGAGCCGGGACATATGTAGGCTGAGCCTCTAGGGCACCCACCAGCGAGGCAGAGGACAGATCGGAGACCCACAGAGACTAAGCGGCAGTATAATGAACCCCCTGAAAGATGCCCACATTTGAATCCCCAGAGCCTGTGGATAGGTTACTTTTTTTTTTTTTTTTTTGAGACGGAGTCTTGCTTCTTCACCCAGGCTGGAGTGCAATGGCACAATCTCGACTCACTGCAACCTCCGCCTCCCGGGTTCAAGCAATTCTCCTGCCTCAGCCTCCCCAGTAGCTGGATTTACAGGCACGTGCCACCACCCCCAGCTAATTTTTGTATTTTTAGTAGAGACAGGGTTTCACCATGTTGGTCAGGCTGGTCTCGATTTCCTGACCTCAAGAGATCCACCCACCTAAGCCTCCCAAAGTGCTGGGATTACAGGCGTGAGCCACCGCGCCCAGCAGGTTACTTTCTAAGGCAAAGGAATTTTGCAGCTGTGATTATTACATTAAGGGCCTTGAGGTGGGGAGGTGAGCCTGGATTACCTGGCAGGTGGGGGCAATGTAAGCACAAGGGTCCTTATAAGAGGGAGACAGGAGGGTCAGGGACCCGCAGAAGCCTCATGGTGACGGAAGCAGAGGGACGCAGAGTGGAAGATGCTCCATTGCTGCCTTTGAAGGGGCCACAAGGCAAGGAATACAGGCAGCCTCTAAAAGCTGAAATAGGCAGGAAAGAAAATGGACTCTCTCCTCCGGCCTCTGGAAAGAACACAGCCCTGCCTGCCAACCCGTTTTAGAATCCCTGACCTCTGGAACTATAAGAGAATACGTGTGTGTTGTTTTAAGCCATTAAGTTTGTGGTAATTTGCTGCATCCACCATGGGAAACTATTGCCCCTGCACAATACCCGAGGAAGGGGGTGTCCCTCGGGCCACTCAGCCCCTTACTGCTGACCCAAAGGACTCCCTGGTCTCAGGGTGTCTGTCAACTCCAGAGGTCAGTATGGTGGCTCCTGCCTGGGAGCAAATGCCTTGGTTTGGTTAACTAGTAATGATTCCTGAGGACGTGCCAGGCCAAAGGGGGCTTCAAAACCCACACAAGGTCGTTTCGTGCTGACCCTTCCAACTGCTCCCAAACAAAGGCTATTGGCATTGCCGCAGGTTGCTGCCTGATAGAAGTTTCACATTCTCTCCTTTTTTAAAAAAAAATGCATCATACCCACATACGAAGCATCCAGTGAAGGAGGCAGCACAGTATAGAAAAGAAAAGAAAAGAAAAAAAAGAAAAGAAAAGAAAAGAAAAGAAAAGAAAAGAAAAGAAAAGAAAAGAAAGCCCCAGCCCAGACTCCTGGAAACCTGATGCTAATCCTGGAGCTACTGCCCCTCTCTAAGCCTCAGTTTCCCCATCTGTACAAGGGGTTGGGACTGAGTTGCCTCCAAGGACCTAGTTTGCTGGCAGCCTCATTCCATAGTTCTAAATGCCTCCTTTCCTGTCATCAGCTTGCCTGACCTTGTGACCTGCAGCGTCAGGGATGGTCAGGGCTGATGGAGAACCGCCACATCCGGAGCCCAAAGCGGCCATCTCCTACCCTGGGGACCCGTCTGCTTGGTCTCTGCTGCCACCTGCTGGCAACTTGAAAACAAAGCCTTCCGGCTGGATCTCCGGGAAAGAAGCCCTTGGAAGAGAGGCCCTGCAAACTATTGCAACTGCCCGCCCAGACCTGACCAGCCACGCCCTTCCTTTAGGTTGGTTTTCAGGGAGCAGAAGGAAGCCCATGCAGCAACCAGAGCCCTGGATGGGAGGCTGCCTGCATCTCTCCCCATGTCTGCCTCCCGCCTCCTCTGCACTAGGAAGATGGGGTGTGGGATGCGGCAGTTTCTGAACAGTGGTTCTACTGGCCCAGCCTCTGCCTTCAGAGGATTGTAACAATAGGACAAGGGTCCCTGTGCACCCTCTCTCCAGGGTATCTCCACCACATGCTATGGGCTTCCTGGTCCCTATCCCCTTTTTCCTGTTTTCAGACATCCAGAGGCATCAGAAGGGGAGCTGTCCACACGGGATGAGCCGGACAGGACCAAGCCCGAGCATAGGCTGCATTCGGGCCTCTGTCCAGCCAGGGAGCCCACAGGCCACGTTCTCACCACAAATGAGGGGGGCACCCTCGCTGCTCGTTGTCCCCAAAAGAAAGGGTAGCTGGTAGGATAGCTACATTCAGACAATGGACAGGGCAAAGGAGACTGGGAAGTCTGCGAGCCACAGTCCCTGGCCCCGAAGTAATGCCCCTTGCCAGGCCCCTCATCTGTTTCTGAGCCACACTCGACTCTGGCTGCCCAGACAACATCCAGGCCTTTCCCCGTAGGCAGCGCTGCCAGGAGGCAGCAGTGAAGGTCCCCTTGGCTCTCTGGCCCCAGCCTCCCTCCCTGTTCCACCTTCTGCAGTTCGAGGCACTCGCTTTGGCCTCAGGACACACCTGCCTTGCTCCCTCTGCAGGCCATAACATCCCCTTCCTCTGACCTCTTCTAAAATCTCCTCTCTCACGTGGTTCCTTCATACTATGGCCCACTGGACTACTGAGCCTAATCATCCAAAAATTGAAACCCCTTTTCTTCAAGGGTGGGAAGGCTTACACATCAAACCTTCTAGTACTGCAAGAAAAAAGGAAGAAGAGGCCGGGCGCGGTGGCTCACGCCTGTAATCCCAACACTTTGGGAGGCCGAGGTGGGCAGATCACCAGAGGTCAGGAGTTCGAGAGCAGCTGGCCAACATGGTGAAACCCCGTCTCTACTAAAAATACAAAAAATTAGCCAGGCACAGTGGCACACACCTGTAATCCCAGCTACTCAGGAGGCTGAGGCACGAGAATTGCTTGAACCTGGGAGGTGGAGGTTGGAGGTTGCAGTGAGCCGAGATCAAGCCAGTGCATTCCAGCCTGGGCAACAGAGTGAGACTCCATCTCAAAAAAAAAATGAAAAAGAAAAAAGGAAGAGGAGAAGAGAAGAAAAACATAAAACACTGCCATGTTAAAATGTACATTATCACTCCAGATGCCAGAAATATCCTCATTCTGGTGTCCCAGGGGTCACGAAATTGGAACCACAGAGAAAGCAATGCAGTGGAAGCATTGCGCTGGGCCCTGTGGGGAAACACACCTACACAGCCACAATCATGCAAATGCTGTTTATTGATTTTCAGATTGTAGAATCAACCTATGGACAAAGCACAGAAGATTTAGTTTTGCTTACAGAGCAGAAGGTAGATGTTAACAACAAGGAAGATGGAAAAGTAAAGTACATCAGAACTTTAGGGATACAGTTAGCGCTGGGGGAACCCCTGCTGGGTGGAGACAAGCTCTGGGGCAGAAGAGAAGCCCAGGAAGCCCTTGGCAGTTGACTACGTGGCCCTGGGCTGGATACTTCGTCGCCCCCCTGCCCCACCCCACACACCTGGGTGGTGCTAGAGGATGTCGCTGGCGTGATAGCCCCTCCTCGTACCCGTCCTTTAGGGAGGACGAAGAGGAGGGAGAGAGTTGGAAGGGGAAGGTCCCAACGCTGCCATGCTCATCAGACACAGAAGGAGGTCACCAGACTGAGGCAGGCGGTGGAGCTTGGACACCAGACTAACTTGAAGATGAGCTAAAACAGGGGCGAGTGGAAGCGGCTTTCCCTAAGGCATGACCCCCAGGGTGCCATGTCAGTTTACCATTGCCGTGGCAACACCCTGGCATACTGCCCTGTTCCGTGGCAAAGACCCCAGGACCCAGAAGTTACTACTCCTTCCCTAGAAATCTTTGTATATGCAGCTCCTTAATCTACATGTAATTAAAAGTGGGTATAAATCTGACTGCAGAACTGCCCTGAGCTGCTGCTCGCTGCCTATGGGGTAGCCCTGCTCTGCAGGGCAGTCACAGAGCTGCAACACTGCAGCTTCAATACAGCTGTTTTGGTTTTGGTTTTGTTTGTTTTTCTTTTGTTTTTTGTTGTTGTTTTTGTTTTGTTTTGTTTTTTGAGATGAAGTTTTACTCTTGTTGACCAGGCTGGAGTGCAATGACGTGATCTTGGCTCACTGCAACCTCCGCCTCCCAGGTTCAATCAATTCTCCTGCCTCAGCCTCCCAAGTAGCTGGGATTATAGGCGCCCGCCACCACGCCCAGCTAGTTTTTTTGTATTTTTAGTAGAGATGAGGTTTCACCATGTTGGCCAGGCTGGTCTGGAACTCCTGACCTCAGGTGATCCACCCGCCTCGGCCTCCCAAAGTGCTGGGATTATAGGCGTGAGCCACCGTGCCCGACCACAGCTGTTTTCTTCTACCCTACCACTGGCGCTTGCCTTTGAAATCTTTCCTGGGGGAGGCCAAGAACCCTCTCAGGCTAAGCTCCAGTGTCGGGGCTTGCCCACCCTACATCAAGACCCACTAAAGTCAGTGGGATTCTAGAGAGCTCTAAGTGTCCTGCGTAAAGTTACAAAAATCACCGAGATGACCCCCAAATGTAACTATCCAAAATGGGGAGACAGGGAGGGGTATCAGGCATGAGAAAGGATCAGAGCATCAAATCCTCATTTGTCATTGACATGGGGTAAAATCTAGAAACTGATTTAAACAGATTACTTGGAAATAGAGAAAACTACCAGAAGAATTAAAAACAGGGTCAATTAAAACCATGGCACGGAAGGAATGAGAGGGGTAGAGGAGAAAACTACTTTTATTCATAAGCTCTTCTGTACCCTTGGGATTGTTTTTTTTTTTTTTTTTACCATGGGTGTGTCTGACTTTGATTTCAAAAATTAATTTTAAATTTTAAAAAGTGACACCACGATCCTGGTCAATCGAACCAGAAGTGACCAGGCCACTTGCTCCCTGCCTGGGTGGCTGTGGGCCTCAGGGGGCTCAGTGCTGCAGCGAGTGCCCTGGGGACGGGGGTGGCTCTGTGGCTGGCTCTGCAGGGGGCCCTGCGGACAGCTCTGCAGATGGTGCTGTGGGTGGCTCTGCAGGTGGCTCTGTGGATGACTGTGCGGGTGGCTCTGTGGGTGGCTCTGCGGGAGGCTGCGTGGCACCCTGGCTCAGCATGTTCCGGCAGCGCAGCCGCTCCTCCTCCTGCTTCTCCGCCATGCGGTTCTCCAGCAGCCTCAGCTCCCTGCGCACCGCCTTCTGCATGGACGGCTCCAGCTCCAGCACTTTCTGGAGGTCCGCCTTGGCCTCGGCCTCATTCCACACCTCTGCGTGAGCCCGGGCACGCACGTAGTAGGCCTTCACGATGCCTGTGGGGAGCAGGGAGCATCCAGCTACAGCTCCCTTCCCAGCCTCAGAGGCAGCCCCAGCCCAGCTGGGACTCACCAGCCTCCAAGACCCTCAGCCCCGCCATGATCCTTAACCTCTCTGTATCCCCCATCCCTCGGTTTCCTCAACTGTAAGATGGAGATGATGATCATAATAGCAGTACCTCCTCCTCTCCTTTTTAAGGCCCTGTGAGTAATTTTATATTCATAACTTTGTTTTATTTTTCTTATAGACGCTACCTAAATTAGATAACCTTCAGGCCCTTTCCCTGCACCTCCCTCATATGGTGATTATGAGGATTATGAGGATTAAATGAGATAATAAACGCAGACGACGTGTGCCTGATGCATGAGCCAGGGGCTGGATGTTTTTACTGTGAGCACGATTCGAGCATTAAGTCAATACTAGTACTGACGGTGCCATATCCTCGCAACACCAGTACTAGTACCGACATCATAATATTTTTCCCTATATTGATTGCCCCTCTTTTTTAAACGCCTGTTTACCGTTCCGCTGAAATCACAAGCTTGGCGAGCTTCCTGGGTAAGTGTTCAAACACACATTAAAATAAAGGGCCGCCCCGCGCCAAGCACTGCCCATCCATCACCCACAATTCAGTTACACACTCGGGGAAACCCGGCTGGGTGGAGACAAGGTTTGGTGCCCTGGTGGGGTGGAAAGAAAAGTCCAGGAAGGCTATGGCAGGTGTCTCCGTGGCCCTGGGCTGGGCGCCCCCTCACTGTCCGCCCCTGCAGCCCCGCGCACCTGGGTGGTGCCGGAGAATATCACTGGTGTGCTCCAGCACCTCATAGTACTCCTCCTTCTTCAGCAGGCACTGGCAGTAGTTGAGGATCAGAGTATTGATCATCTTCTCCAGCTTCAGCCACTGCACCTCCCATGGCTTCTCCTGCCCAGGGAGAAGGTCAGCCATGACCTCAGGCAGCTGCCCAACCCCCGCCCCACCCTGGCCGGCACTGGGCAGGCCCCCCAGAGTCAGCGCCACTTCCCACCCCTGGCCAGCGGCCTCTGACCTTGGTCTGCAGGTTCCTTAGGCAGATGATGGCCTCCTGGTACTTGGAAGAGGCCTCCTCGTAGCGGCCCAGCTTGAAGAGCCGATTTCCCTCTCCGTGGAGGACGGGCACCGCCTTCATCTTCTCATGATTGCTCAGGTTCCAGGTCTCCCTCTGGTAATCACTCGGGGCATCAACCTGGCCCCAGAGCTGCAGGTCAGTGAGGCAGGGACCCCAGGGGCCTGCACCCCATCAGAGACCCGAAAAACAGGACCCTGTGGCACATCTCCCTGAAGTCATGCTTGCTGGTCAAGTGCATACAGACAAGGGAAAGAAGCAACAACGCCGAAAACCCTGCCCTAAATCAATGTCTTTGTGCAAACTAGGAAAAGGTGCCCGTTCATCAAGACACTTCACTTCTAATATTCAGAAAATTGTCACGAATACTCGTTTTGTTAGAACAATACACTATTGCCATCTGCTGGAAACTTCTCATTATGGAAATACCAATATACAATGTCTATAATGAGCACCTTGGAGGAGATGCCGGTGCACCTTGTGCAGTGCACAGACCACACAACTGTGACAGCAAGCCTGTAAGGGCCCTTGGTTGACACAGTTCTTATTTTATTTTTATTCACCCACATAGCTCTCAGGCTGAGCCTCAGTCTTGGCCATAAGCTGAGTCCTGACCTGACCTTGACCCTGGCCCTAACCCTCTCTCACCAATCCACAAACACGCGCTGCCAATCACTCTGGGGCTCTGGTTGGGAGGATGTGGGGAGTTCCATGCAGCCTCTCCCGCCACTAGAGAACCAAGTCTGAACCCACAAACCACAGGAACCAAGGAGGCGGTTATAATCTCCAACTCCTGAAAATGAAAGTGGAAGTGGATAAAATGCCTCCACAATGAAAATGAATCACATTTTTAAAAACTGGTTCCAAGTGGACTTTTTTTTTTTTTCTTTTTTTTGGACATGGAGTCTCACTCTGTCACCCAGGTTAAAATGCACTGACATGATCTCTGCTCACTGCAACCTCCACTTCCCAGGTTCAAGCAATTCTCATGCCTCAAATTCCCAAGTAGCTGGGATTGATTACAGGCATGCACCACCACACCCGGTTAATTTTTGTGTTTTTAATAGAGACGGGGTTTTACCATGTTGGCCAGGCTGGTCTCGAACTCCTGACCTCAGGTGATCCAACCCCCTCGGCCTCCCAAAGTGCTAGGATTACAGGCGTGGGCCACCATGCCCAGCACCAAAGGACTTTTCTTGTGGAAAAATCAGAGGACTTTTTTTTCAAATTCGTATTCTCCCATGGCTTATGAACCCTCTCGTATTATCTAAACAGAAACAGGGCACTGTCCAGTGGCCAGTGGGGTGGGGGTGCCCATGATGCCCGCTGTCCCTCTCCAGTGCTGGCACAGCCCTCCAGCCCTGCCAACCCCAGCCCCACCTGCAGCAGCTCGATCACAAAGACCAGAGGCTGAGGCTCCTTCTGCAGCTCGTCCAGGTCCTCGTAGCCCAGCGTGTGGTAGGCGAACATGTTGGCCAGCCCGCACGTGTGCACGTGCCACTCTGTGGGGTCCTTGCCCTGGGCCATCTGCCTCAGGCTCCGGGATAGGATGGGGTAGACCCCCGTGTGCTGTGGGGATAAACGGATGGATGGCATCCAGGCTACCTGCCCAGAGCTAGGTGGGCCATAAAAGGCCTCCACTCAGAGCCCCTCCTGGGAGGAATCCTGCTCCCTCACTATGCCACTCATACTAACTGTGGTTAACTGTGTGCCAGGCAAAGCACTTCACACTGTTATGAGCCCCTTCAATCCTTATGACAATTCAAGGCAGGCACTATTATCCCCATTTTACGGATGGGGAAACTACAGCCCAGAGACGCAAAGCAACTTGCTTAAGGTCACACAGCTAGGAAATGACGCAGCCAGGATTCAAACCTGGCTCCAGAGGCCATATGCTGTTAGCCTCCGGCTGCCTCTTCTGGCCCTTGTGGTCCACTGTAACACATCTCTGCCCCAGGGAAACCCTGACCTCTGCAAAGCCTATGACTCGCAGGAAGGGCAGTGTGGGGCAGTAGAAGGAGCAGGACTCCAGGGTCCAAGAGAGTCGCTTTGGTGTCCTGGCAGTGCTGCAGGTTAGCGGTGAGCCCAGGTCTCTGCACTTCTCTGAAACTCAGTTCCCTGGGTTGCTCCTGTTCGATATTAGGGCTGCTGTAGGGATTAAATGAGATGGTGCAGATATAGATCTGGCTCATCACAGCTTCAGCCAGCATGGGAGCTGAGTTTGCCACCCTTGGGATGAAGGAGGGCTGGGAAGATCCGCCGTGCGGCCTCAGCGAGGCCTGCTGTATGTATGCTGGGCCTCAGTTTCCCCAACTAGGCTCCCTGAGAACCCATCTCCTTGGACCGGCTTCTGAGATGACCCAGCACTGGCCCCACATGCAACATGTGAAGTGAAGGGGCTGAAACTCTATGCAGCAGTTCAGCTCTGCCTCCAGGTCACCAGCACAGAGACAGAGGTCACCCTGCCCGCCCCACCGGCCGGGATTAGCCCGAAATGCCTTCTGCCTCTTTATGGAAGAGACAAGCAGATGGCTGTTGAGCCTGTTGGGATTAGAGCTGGACCAAGGGAGGGAGAGGCCCCAGAACCAGCTTACTGCAGGGAGGGGCCACCTTTGGCCCTGACTCAGCAGCCCCCAGCTCGGCACCCCATGGCTCCCAGCAAGCTGAGCGTGCTTTTGTGGCCCCAAAGCACACTGCCCTCACTTATTTATGTCCTGGCACTGGCTGCCCTGCATTACAATTGTTTAGGTGTCTGCTCCTCCTGCAGAATTCAAGTTCCCTAAGGGCTAGGGGCTTTGCCTGTTTCACTCCTAACATACAGCACAGGCCAAATCAGGTGCCCAGTGAATGTTTTCTAACTAGATAGGTAGGTAGGTAGGTAGGTAGGTAGATAGATAGATAGATAGATAGATAGATAGATAGATAGATAGATAATAGATACACGAATGATAGGAGATAGATAGAAGATGATGGATGCATGCATAGTGACGGAAGACTGGATTATGAATGAAGATTGGTTGAAGGGAAGAATGGATGAAATGATGCCCGGGCAGGTGGGTAGATGGATAAGAGGTGGATGTGCAGGTGAAGAACTAACTCTAGAAGGGGTGTGTGTGTGTGTGTGTGTGTGTGTGTGTGTGTGTGTGTGTGCATGCGTACATGCACACAATCACGGCAGCCATGGGCTGGGGTGAGGAGATGTGCGGGGCATGGAGATTAGGAAAACCCATAGTTACCATGGGGAGCAGTGGCTCATGCCTGTAATCCCGGCACTTTGGGAGGTCAAGGCCAGTGGCTCACCTGAGGTCAGGAGTTCCAGACCAGCCTGGCCAACATGTTGAAATCCCATCTCTACTAAAAATACAAAAATTGGCCCGGTGTGGTGGTGAGCACCTATAATTCCAGCTACTCAGGAGGCTGAGGCAGGAGAATCGCTTGAACCCGGGAGGCAGAGGTTGCAGTGAGCCAATCCCACACCATTGCACTCCAGCCTGGGCAACAAGAGCGAAAGTCCGTCTCAAAAAAAAAAAAAAAAAAAAAAAACAGTTACCAGCCTGTGATATGGGCAATGCACTCATGTGACTATCAACATGGAAAAAGGAACACAGACTCCACAGGAAACAAAGAGCCATGCCCACATTATGGGAATGACAACAGCTTGTGGTTTTGCAAACAACAAATCAATCAACTAATCAAGAATTTATTGACAGCCTTCTATGCACTCAGCTGTCATGTGTTAGCAAACGTGTATCTTATGGAGAGGGGGCTCTTAGTGGCAGCCTTGCCTCACAAATGGCATGAATTAAAGTACAGGAGCCCCTCACTCTAAGCAAAGTCAATAGATATATTTTTAAACTAACTGAAATCACAAAGAAGCCAATTTTTGAAGGCTTGACTTGATAAAAAATAAAACAGATTTTAAGATAAAAACATCAGAATGAAGAAAAACACAGGGACTGCTACAAAGGAAAGATGTTCAACATATATTTGCTACATGAATGAATAAATGGATAACATGTTGAGTGGGATCACCTACTGGCAGAGGATGGCACTGCAGCCCAGCTCTATTAGACACTGCAAGAAATGTGTGTAGGATGAAGAGGGAACCAGGCATCTCACCCAGATCTTTTCCCTTAACTTGTCTGAGCCATTGCAAGTTATTTTCCCTTTTGGAGTCTTAAGTTTCCCATCAGTAAAGTGAAGAAGTTAATCTCAAATTTTTTCTAGGCTGGACATGGTGGCTCACGCCTGTAATCCCAACACTTTGGGAGGCCGAGGCAGGCAGATCACTTGAGGTCAAGAGTTCGAGACCAGCTTGGTCCAACATGATGAAAACCTGTCTCTACTAAAAATACTGAAAAAAAAAAAAAAGCCAGGTGTGGTGGCAGGCACCTGTAATCCCCAGCTACTCAGGAGGCTGAAGCAGGAGAATCATTTGAACCTGGGAGGCAGAGGTTCCGGTGAGCCAAGATCGTGCCAGTACACTCCAGCCTGGATGACAGAGTGAAACTCCATCTCAGAAAAAAAAAAAAATTCTAGCTCAAAATAATAGCTCTCATTTTTAATTGCCCTGTATTATGATCCACCCTCATATGTTATATCATGTAATCTCCAAAACAACCCCTTAACTTAGAGTTTTGTTTATTTATAAATGAAGGAATAGAGTAGCAGACAGAAGACGGGACTACCCCAGGTCACACAACTAATGAAAGACAGAACAGAGTTCAAATTGTCCCCAAAATGCTCATTTAAAAGGTCAGTGGCCTCTGATGAAATAATGAGTCTGGGTATCTGCCACCAATGGTGAAAGTCTAGGGGGAGCTTTGGAATGGATGGATCAGGCTGTCAACACCTAAACCCACCAATCACTCTTAACATCACTGTAAAAGAGACAACCAAGTGTGATGTACGTCTCCCAAAGGGAAGTATATGGTACATCCATGGCAGACTTTTGAAAAAGAGAGAAAGAGAGAGAGAAGAATCTGAATCTTATCAGGCCCTCTAGACCCCACTTTCAATTTATCAAAAATGTGGGGAATAGAGGAGCATGTTAGACAATTCCATGGCGAAGGAACCAGGAAAATCAGAATGTGGGACTTCTACAGGATAAATGACCCAGTTCCTTCAACACTTCCATGTCAAGGAAGAAAAGAAGAAAAGAAGGAGGCCGAGCGTGGTGGCTCAGGCCTGTAATCCCAGCACTTTAGGAGGCAGAGGCGGGCGGATCACAAGGTCAAGAGATCAAGACCATTCTGATCAACATGGTGAAACCCTGTCTGTACTAAAATACAAAAAATTACCCAGGCGTGGTGGCGGGCACCTGTAGTCGTGGGAGGCTGAGGCAGGAGAATCACTTGAACCCGGGAGGCCAAGGTTGCAGTGAGCCAAGATCACGCTACTGCACTCCAGCCTGGCTACAGAGCAAGACTCCGTCTCAAAAAAAAAAAGAAAGAAAGAAAAGAAGGAAGTAGACCTATAGATAAAAAGGCACTTGAGAGACGCATCAACAAAGCGCTATGCAGAGACTTTGTTTGTTCGGTTGTTGATTTAAACAAACCAAACTCATTCATTTATAAAGAATAAAAGGAGTCAACCAAAGAAAATTCAACAGTGACTGGATATTAGACGGCTTTAAGGAATTACTGGAGTTTTTAAAAGATTTCATAATGGTACAATGGTAAAGTTTCTTTAATATCCTCTTTTTTTTTTTTTAAGATGGAGTCTCACTCTGTCGCCAGACTGGAGTTCAGTGGCATGATCTTAGCTCACTGCAACCTCTGCCTCCCGGGTTCAAGTGATTCTCCTGCCTCAGCCTCCTGAGTAGCTGGGATTACAGGCATGTGCCACCACGCCCAGCTAATTTTTGTATTTTTGGTAGAGACGGGGTTTCACCATGTTGGTCAGGCTGGTCTCCAACTCCTGACCTCGTGATCTGCCCGCCTCAGTCTCCCAAAGTGCTGGGATATCCTCATATTTTAGAGATACAAATTTTAGTATTTACAGATGAAATGATATGGTGTCTGGCATTTGGTTTAACCACGCAGGACAAGGAAGGGAAGTGGGTGGGTTGGGAGATGAAGCAAGACCAGCCGCGGGTTGATGGTGGCCGGCACTGGGTGACAGGTACTCGTAAGTTCATTATTCTTTCTGCTGACTTTTGTATATGTTTGAAAGTTCCCATAAGAAACGTTGCCTAAAGGTCAGTGAGTTTTGCCATAAGGCAAGGAAGCTAACTTATAGGAGTAATTTACGGAGTGCCATAAATAGGAGGGCAAACTTGCAATGTGAGGAGGAGGGCAAAAAAGTGACCAGTGCTGCTCTAATCATGCTGTATAAAATCTCCAGATCTAATCATGCTGTATAAAAAGCAAGGACTTAGCCGGGCAAGATGGCTCATGCCTATAATTCCAGCACTCTGGGAGGCCGAGACAGGAGGATTGCTTAAGCCCAAGAGTTTAGGACTAGCCTGGCCAACGTGGCAAAACTCTGTCTCTACAAAAAATACAAAAATGAGGTGTGGTGGTGCACCTGTAGTCCCAACTACTTGGAAGGCTGAAGTGGGAGGATCACCTGAGCCCGGGAAGTTGAGGCTGCAGTGAGCCATAATTACGCTACTGCACTCCAGCCTGGGTGACAGAGCGAGACCCTATCTCTCTCTCTCTCTCTCTCTCTCTCACACACACACACACACACACACACACACACACACACACACACAGATGTGAGGACTGTGAAGTGGGCCAGCTCACTCCTGCTGGTCATAGCCCTGCTCCCCACCAGCCAGCCACAGCATGGGTCACCCCTTCCAGCCCTTGTTCCCTCCATCTTCACATGCACAGCGGTGGGGAATAAGTTTGCAGGACTGGCTTTGCAAAGCTTCGCTTGAGTCCCAGCTTTCCCGAAACACAGCAGCCCCGCAAAGCGGGTGGGTGAGCCCAGAAAAGACTAGTCCCAGGAGACAGGCGCGCAGGGCCTACTTACGATGGTGTCGCACCAGAACTCGGCCACCTCGTGCACCCGCATGGAGGTAAGCAGGATCTCCCAGACCTCGAGCTTGAACATGTTTCCGATGATGATGTGCATGGGCTGGCCCACCTGCCGACTGTCGTCAATGACTGTCCGCTCCTCATCACATTTCATGGTGCGGAAATGAAAGATCACCTAGTCACCGAGACGGTGCACTCTGCTCTAGACACACTGTTCAAGGCCCGGCAGAAGCCACCCCCTTGCCACCGACACCCAGGGCTGTCCCCAGGGTCAGCTCACTCAGTTCACCCCATCAGATGCCTCAGACCCCTGGAGCACCTCCACCCTGCCTGCACCCCCCAGGGAGGAGGGACCCACCCCTCCCTACAGACCCCATTCCACTCCCCACAGCCCTGTGCGTCCAGAAATCCTTCCTCAAGTAAGCCCGAGTTCTTTTTTTTTTTTTTTTTTCTGAGACAGAGTCTCACTCTGTTGCCCAGGTTGGAGTGCAGTGGTATGATCTCGGCTCACTGCAACCTCCACCTCCTGGGCTCAAGTGATTCTCCTGCCTCAGTCTCCTGAGTATCTGAACTGGGATTACAGGCGCCCAGCACATCTGGCTAATTTTTGTATTTTCAGTAGAGATGGGGTTTCACATGTTGGTCAGGCTGGTCTCGAACTCTTGACCTCATGATCTGCCCATCTTGGCCTCCCAAAGTGCTGGGATTACAGGCGGGAGCCGCCTCGCCTGGCCAAAGCCCGAATTCTGTAGCCACAGACGCACCCTTCAGTCCAGGGAAGCCTAACAGACATTTGGGGACAAATACCAAGACTCCTCGGACTCCCTTTCTTCTCACTCAACATTTAGGGCCCCAGAAAATTCCCAAAAGCCCTTCCCCTCAGCCCATGCTAAAGTTGAATCTGCAAAGTACCAAAAATGCCCCCTGAATGGGTAAACGCTGGGAGCTCCCCGGAGGCCCAGCGCTGGGGCTGCCTGGCTGTTTTTTTGGCACAGCTGAAAGCTGTTTACAGTGCCTTGGGGCACACCTGGAATGTTGAAAGCTGCTGTGGGGGACCCTGTCTGCTCCGGAGGGGCCCCACTCACTCGGGATCCGGTGATGAAGTTTGGGAGCTCGCCCGTGCCCCCGTGCAGAATGGTTTTCTTGACCCCTTCCACGTTCAGGAGCAGAGCGGCATCCATGGCTGCAGGAGAAAGGGAGGTGTCCAGCACAGGCGGAGATAATCTCACCTCCGGGGAAGACACTTAGGCGGCTGAGACTCTGGGATTTACCCAGCCAGGAGGAGTGGGGGGAAGGGCAGACGGTGGGGGCGGTGACCTAGGCGCCCCGGCTTCTCATCAGAGCCACTCGGGCCGGGCCTGTGGTCCACAGGCAGCCTCGCCTCCTATCCCATCCACCTTTGCTTCCAGTGATTCTGGGCCCCTGCCCAGGGTTGTGCTAGATTTGGCTTTTTGTTCCACCCCAAGAAGGAAAAAGGTCCGCTGAGCTTTCTTAAAGAAGACAGGGGACCAGGCGCGGTGACTCACGCCTGTAATCCCAGCACTTTGGGAGGCCGAGGCGGGCAGATCACAAGGTCAAGAGATCGAGACCATCCTGGCTAATATGGTGAAACCCCATCTCTACTAAAAATACAAAAATTAGCCGGGGGTGGTGGCGGGCGCCTGTAGTTCCAGCTACTCGGGAGGCTGAAGCAGGAGAATCGCTTGAACCCGGGAGGCGGAGGTTGCAGTGAGCCAAGATAGCGCCACTGCACTCCAGCCTGGCGATGTGGAGAGAGGCCTGGAGGCCACTGAAGGGGAAAAGGAGGGGAGGCATGGGCTGGGCCCAGACTCTAAGTCCCCGAGGACCCCAGGCCAGCCGGGGTGACAGCTGCCCTTTGCCATCCAGCCACCTTTCTGCTTTCCCTGTTCCCCCTCCCCTCCCCAGAATCTGCCTTCAGGAGGCCCTGCGATGGTGGCCCAAGGCAAGAGGGGACAGGTTTCTGGCTTGGGAGAGAAGGAAGACGGAGAACGAAAGGCGGGGTGGGTTTGGGTAAAGTTGAGGCGCCCTCCGCAGCCCCGCTCCTGCCTCCCCTGCAAGGTCTGGCTGGGGGAAGGGTGGGTATCCCCTCCCCTCCCCTCCCCTCCCCTCCCCTTTGGAGGCCCTTAGCCCTGTGCCCTGGGAACCAGGCAGAGTTTATTGAGGGCATCAGGGACGCCCAGAAGGGCTGGGAAACATAAATGCGAAGACCTGGTGTTTGGCACCACCGTGTGGCCAGTTCAAGCTCCTACACCTCCGCACCCTGAGGGCACTGGACTCAGCTCCACGAAACCATTCTCTTCCTGACACCAGGCTCACCGGTTGCAGAGGGAAGGGGTGCAGGACTCTGCTACAGGGAGAGATAAAAACACGGGACTAAGGAGGCTGAAGTAGGTGGATCACCTGAGGTCAGGAGTTTTGTATTTTTAGTAGTCTGTACTAAAAATACAAAAATTACCCAGGCATGGTGGTGCGCACCTGTAATCCCAGCTACTCAGGAGGCTGAGGCAGGAGCCTCGCTTGAACCCGGGAGGCGGAGGTTGCAGTGAGCTGAGATCGTGCCACTGCACTCCAGCCTGAGCAACACAGCGAGACTCTGTCTCAAAAAAACAAAACAAAACAAAAAATGCTAGACTAGGCTGGGTGCAGTGGCTCATGGCTGTAATCCTAGGACTTTGGGAGCCAAGGCAGGTGGATCACCTCAGATCAGGAGTTAGAGACCAGCCTGGCCAACATGATGAATCCCCATCTCTACTAAAATTACAAAACTTAGTCGGATGTGGTGGTGGGCACCTGTAATCCCAGCTACTCAGGAGGTTGAGGCAGGAGAATCGCTTGAATCCAGGAGATGAAGGTTGCTGTGCACCAAGATCATGCTGCTGCACTCCAGCCTGGGGCACAGAGTGAGACTGTGTCAGAAGAAGAAGAAGAAGGAGAAGGAAGAGGAGGAGGAGGAGGAGGAGGGAAGAGGGAAGAGGGAAGAGGGAAGAAGAAGGAAGAAGAAGAAGAAGACTGGACTGAGCCAGATACAGCTAAGTTCAAAGGGCTGATCCTTTCCTATTTACTGACCTTGTTGCCTTGGATGTCTCTCGTTTTCTCTAACTGCATTTTCCCAACTGAAATGAGAAAATTGACCTCTCCTGCTCCTTCTCAGGGGAAGTTGGGAGGGCTGCAGCAGTGAATGGCACCCTGAAATCCGGCACTCATGAAAGTCTTGCTTCCCGTGAGGAGTCATTGGCATAGAGGAGACCAAACCTGGGCCAACTGGTCAGGCCCAGGGAATCCTGGCCAGATCCCCAAGGGTCCAGTCTCCATCCCTGGAAGGCAGAAGGCTGCTGAAAACCTTCCCCTTCTCTCTTCCATCCTTTCTCCAGCCACACGGCAACCTAGAGAGGTCTGCATGCATAGGTAAAATGGATACTTAGTAAAACTAATACAGGAATTATTAAGAAATAATTTTTAGGCAGATAGTAAGGGTAAAGGTTCTTGGTGGAAATTTTCCTGCAATAAAAAACAAGCCCCCAAACCATCTCTTTTCTAACAGAAAAGGCTGCTTAAAGGGCCAGGCTGGCAAACCTTGACATGCAAATGCTGGCCATTAGAAACTGGGTTCACTCATATGGAGATTCCTGCTGTCTTTTCCCTGTCACCAGGTGTACCGAGTGTCGTGGCCACCTCCAGATAACACCTTGTGTTCAGAACATCATAGCGACCCACATTTGCATATTAAAGGACTAAGGTGGGAAGGCCAGGTGTTTTGCGGGGTTTGTAAATGACACACCTGGTCAAACCAATCCCCTGGGCCCTATGGAAATCAGACACCACCTCCTCAGCCTCCTCATATAAGCAGCTACTTCCCACCACCCTCACCCTAAACAGGGGGTTTTCTCTTTGTTCAAATCCCCCCCCTCTGTCTCTGTATGGGGGGGCTATTCTCTTCTTCCTTCCTTCTTTCTTGCCTATTAAACTTTTCACTCCTTAAAACTACTCCACGTATGTTCGTGTTGTTAATCCTATTGGAGCAAGACCAAGAACCCTGGAGTTCCTCCAGTCATCAGAGCCGTATCAAAACTACAAAGGAAAATAAAAGTATTTATCATAAAAGTCTAAGGAGACAGGAAGAACACACTTGTCACTTGCGGGTGGCAAGTGTCTGCTTCTGGGATGCTGGCAGTGCTCACCCTTGACCTAGGTGATGGTTACATGGGTGTTGGCTTTATAAGTACAGTAAGTCCTCACTTAATGTCCTTTTAGGTTCTTGGAAACTGCAGTCTGAAATGAAAGGACATACATCAGGTCCTCAAATAACATCGTTTCAATCAATGTCATCATTTCATTATAATGTTGATGAGAAAAAAAGGTGGTTTCCTTATATGTCATTTCATTTAAAGTCAGTCTTCTTTTTTTTTTTTTTTTTCTGAGATGGAACTTTGCTCTTGTCACCCAGGCTGGAGTGCAATGGCGCGATCTTGACTCACTGCAACCTCCACCTCCTGGGTTCAAGTGATTCTCCTGCCTCAGCCTCCCAAGTAGCTGGGATTACAGGTGCCTGCCACTTCACCCAGCTATTTTTTTTTTTTTTTTTTTTTTTTTTTTTAGTGGATACGGAGTTTCATCACATTGGCCACTGGCCAGGCTGGTCTCAAACTCCTGACCTCAGGTGATCCACCCACCTTGGCCTCCCAAAGTGCTGGGATTACAGGCGTGAGCCACCACGCCCGGCCTAAAGTCAGTTTTCAAACACCTATTGACAGCATTAAGTAAGGACTCACTGTATTCATGACACTAGATTTTATGTCTTAGGCAGTTTTCTATCGGTGATATAATTCACAGTGAAAAGGATCCAATCATGTCTCTTCTCACACTTCTTAAAACTCTCCCACTGTTTCTGTTGTTTCCCTTTGTAGAGGGTCGAAGGGCACACACACATTGCAGAGATGTTTAAACAGTAGAACTGATAGATGTAGCCTGTAGCTGATTGGGGGATGTGGGGGCGAGAAGAAAAGGGGATGTTGAAGCCGATGCCAGGGGGGTTGGTTTCCCTGCTGAGAAGAATGAGGATTCACTCCTGGTCTGTGCCTGGAGTTGTGCCACAGGCTACAGACTGATGCCCCAGAAACCCTTTGCCCCCTGTCTTAGTTCATTTTCTGTGATTATAACTGAACACCACAGAATGCATAATTTATTTTTTTAAAAAAGACATTTATTTAGCTCATAGTTCTGGATGCTGGGAAATCCAAGAGCATGGTGCTGGCATCTGGTGAGGGCCTTCTTGCTGCATCATAACGTGGTGGAAGGCATCACATGGTGAGAGGACAAGAGCACGCACATCAGCTCAGGTCTCCATTCCTCTTCTTGTAAAGCCTCCAATCCTATCACAGGGTCCTACCCTGATAATATTATCTAATCCTAATGACCCTCCAAAGGTCCCACCCATAAATATCATCAACATACGAATTTGAGGATTCGGTTTCCAACAGATGAAATTTGGGGGACACATTAAAACCATAGCTGCTCCCAAACCAGTCTCCTCATGGACTTTATTAAAATGCCAATCTAATAACCTACTGCCCTCTTCAAATTCAGCAAAGAGTTGCCACCACCTTCAGGACAAATTTTAAGCTCCTTCTCTGGCCTACAGACCCTGTCTCTTGCCACCCCATCCCCTACCCTCAGCCCCTCATCTCAGCCCCACCCTTTTTGTCTAGGCTTTCCCCAGTCCTAACGCTTGGCAATGCTCCAGACTCCCAACCACTGGCCCACTAGCTCCTCACTTCAAACACCACACATTCAGGGAAGACTACCCTGACCTCCAGCTCCTGTCAATCTCCCCATGCCCCTTATACCCTGTCACTTCTCCCTAGCACTGCACATTCATGCTATTTTGCCCCATTGTAATTGTTTACAATGATGTGTTTAATGTCTATGTCTTCCATCAGATTGACAGTTTCAGGAGGTCAAGGAAACTAGTGGAATGTTTGCTCTTGGACAAAGAGCCCCTGGAGAGCAGGGCTGGAGCTCCTCGTTTGTCCCCCTCCCCAACGGAGGCAAGGGTGATGCTGGATTCCCTCCCCCTCCAAAAGCCTCTGCTAGGAAAAAGTGACTGGTTTTTCCTCCTTACCAAGAACAGAAGCCAATGTACCGACCTCTGGACTAGGAGCCTCCTTCCCCTGAGTACAGCCTCCTTCCCTCCCTCCAGCCACCACTCCACGCAAGGCAAAAGGGAAAGGCTTCCCATTCATAAGAAAATGTTTCTTCCCCCTTTACTTGTTGCCATGGAGACTGTTCTTCATTAACCTGGCCTGCCAGTTACCATTCTGAGTGAGGGAAGATGGTGGAAAGCTCCAAGCAGGGAGGGCCTCTTTATGCATGCATGCATTCATTGTTTCACCCCTGATCTTAACAAAGTTGTGTAATCTAAGGGTAAGAATTCAGGCTTTGAAGTCAGTCACTGGATTTAAGCTCCAGTTCTGACATCCCATACAATCTTGGACCAGATATTTCACCTGTCTGCATCTCACTTTTGTCATCTGTAATGGAAATAAAAAACGTACCTACTTCATAGAATTGCTTGAGGATTAAAAAAGAATAAAGAAAGTAAATGCCCTTAGCAGAGAGTCTGACACATGGTGAGGGCTCAAAAAATATAAGCTATTATTACGGATGCCTGTGACATGACAGGCACTGGGGAGGCTATTGTGATAAGACACTCCGGTTTGAGAGACTTGGCTTGTTTCTAAATGTTTCACCTTCATGGAGTCTTTCCCACACTTTCATCTTAGTTTTCATAGAAACAACAACTTTTTCTTTTCCCCCTTGGATTTCACTGGTAAAAGACATCAGTTAAATTCCTTAATTACAGTAACAAATGCAACTGTTGTAAACAGGTTTGAAAACAAGCATTTCTGACTCTTGATAAACAACTTCACTGTGAACAAAATGGACAGGCAAACTAGAGCAATATTTTGCAAACCACAACTCATACTCCATTAGTGACTCGTAGAATGAATATAGTGGGTTGTAACCATCAAGGTTTTTTTAAATGAAATAAAAAATAAAATCTCAGGTCATATCACACATAGTCAAGTATTGTTTCATGAAACTTTTGTTTCAGTTCACGTGTGTGTGTGCTGGGTCTCTTACAGTGAATGCTGGTTCCTTAAGCGTGGTGTTCCCTGAGCCAAGAAGATCACACACACACACACACACACACACACACACACACACACACACACACACATTCGTTGCCTGGTTAACTCATTCTCTAGGTCTCAGCTTTCAATAACATAAGTTTTGCATAGTTCTTTGATTAACTGATTATTGGTTATTTGATCCTTTCATGTCTATGTCTCCCCACACACTAGATTTGAGCTCCATGACAGTAAGGAATGTATCTGTTTTGTTGACCTTTGTGGCCCATTTTTTAGCACAGTGCTTAATGGATCACAGGCAAGAGGGAATATGGGGGAGGAGGAGGATTGAGGAGACCAGGGTGACTTCAGCTAGGGTGTGTTTATCTAAGATGCCTGCAGCATTCAAGAGGAGATGAGACCCAGGAGGTAGTTGGCTATACATGTCAGATGAGAGGCTCAAGCTGGGGGTGGAGGTGTTAGGGGCTGAGGAAGGCAGTGTGGTGTGGTGGTTAGGCACAGGGACCCTAGCCCTAGACTGATGAAGTTTGAACCCTTGGCCCTGGTGTAGACTAACTGAGTGAAATTTGGGCCCTACCAAATTCTGTATTCTCAGCTTCCTCATCAAGTGTAGGTACAATGAAGATGTCAGTCCGTTTTCTGTTGTTATATCTGAATACCACAGACTGCATAATTTATAAAGAAAAGACACTTAGCTCATGGTCTGGAGGATGGGAAGTTCAAGAGCATAGCACTGGCATCTGGTTGGCATCTGGTAAGGGCCTTCTTGCTGTGTTGTAACATGGCAGAAGGCATCGCATGGTGAGAGGGCAAAAGCGTGCCTGTCAGCTCGGGTCTCTCTTCCCCTTCTTTTAAAGCCACCAGTACCATCATGGGGGCCCCATCTGTTTGATCTTATCTAATGCTAATTACCTCCCAAAGGCCTCACCTCATCAACATACTGGACGTTGGGAATGGTAGGTGCAAGGAAGGAATAGGAGAGATTTGTTAAAAGACACAAAGTTACAGCTAAATAGGAGTAATAAGCTTAGTATTCTATAGCACTGTGGAATGACTAGAGTGAACAATAATATATAGTTTCGAATAACTAGAAGGAAGATATTGACTCTTACCAACACAGAAAAACGATAATGTTTGAGATGATGAATATGCCAATTACCCAGATCTGATCACTCTACATTATATGTATCAAAACATCACTATGTGCCCCATAAATGTTTAATTATTACTTGTCAATTTTAAAAAAAATTTTAAAGAAAATTACAAAGTAGCTCATACTTAGAAAATAATATATGTACAGGTATGTGTATACACACGCATTTATAAAGTGATACGTATAAAATTACTTACATATATGGTTTAAAGAATAATAAAGACTAGGCAAGGTGGCTCACGCTTGTAATCCCAGCACTCTGGGAGGTCAAGGCAGGAGGACTGCTTGAGCCCAGGAGGTTGAGACTGCAGTGAGCTATGATTGTACCACTGCACCTCAGCCTGGACAACAGAGCAAGATCCTGTCTAAAAGAAAAAAAATAAAAAAGAAGAAAGTAAACATCCATGTGGCCACCACCCAGCCTACAAAATGGAACATTATCTTTGAAGTCCTTTGAGCCCTTTCCTCATTACATCCTCTTCTCCTGCCACCCTTCCAAAAACGACGACTTATTTTATTTTGGTGTTTCAATTCCTTTGCTTTCCATAATAGCTTTGTCCACAAATGTATGTGCATATTCCTAAACCATATTGTTGAGCTTTTTTGCGTTTGAATTTATACAGTGTCATACTTTATGTTTGTCTGCATATTGCTTTTTTTTAATCTAACATATTTCTGAGATTGACTTAAGTTACACCATCTGGCTACAATTTGCTTATTTTTCAGTGCTGTATAATATTCTATAATTTGAATAAATAACAATTTATATGTCTTAAAAAATGCCACCGATAGCCAGGAACGGTGGCTCACGTCTGTAATCCCAGCAGTTTGGGAGGCTGAGGCGGGTGGATTGCCTAAGGTCAGGAGTTCGAGACCAGCCTGGCCAACATAGTGAAACCCCATCTCTACTAAAAATACAAAAAATTAGCTAGGCGTGGTGGCAGGCACCTGTAATCCCAGCTACTAGGGAGGCTGAGGCAGGAGAATCGCTTGAACCTGGGAGGCGGAGGTTGCAGTGAGCCGAGATCATGCCATTGCACTCCAGCCTGGGCAACAAGAGTGAAATTCCGTCTCAAAAACAAACAAAAAATGCCACCGATATATGAATTTGGGCATTACATTTCCAACATGTGAAATTTGAGGGACACATTCAAACCATAGCAGAGGATCAAGTAAGTTAATAAACTGCAACACCGGTACCTGTGCATACTAAGTGCCATATACACGTTAATCATTATCATCATCCTTTCCTTGGAAATCACTGAGGCCAAAGGAGTGGGTGAGACCACCCAGAAACGGAGAGGGCTGAAGACAGAGTCTCAAGAAGCCATCATCTCAGGCTCTTGTGCGGAGAAGTAACAAAGAAACCAGCCGGGGGAGTGGGCAGCACTGCTCTGAGGTCACCGAAAGGAGAAAGATGAGCTGGAGAGAGCTTTATAATGGCTGCATTTGTTTGGATGCTAAGGAGAAGAGAGGCAGGCATTCCGCTGGAGAGAGGGAGGGATGCGTGGGGCAAGGCGGGGGCGGGGAGCCGGTGTAGACGGGTGGAGGGCAGACCGGTACTCTGGTCTATCCCCGCTTCCGGGACGCGTTTTCTAGGGAGGGCGGAGCGTGGATGGCGAGTATGGGGAACTCAGAGAGGGACAGTGTCTTGTCACAGGAAGGGAGGGTCAGGAGGGAAATTTGAAAGAAAACGTCTCTGGGAACCCAGGGCTCTGCACTGCCAGTCCCTGGCTCCTTCTGACAAAACCACTGAGCAAGAAGGAAAAGCCAGACCCCTTGGCAGGATGAGAGGGGTCTCTGCCCGCTGCCGGGCCTGGGGCCTGGGGCCTGAGCCAGGAGGCCTAGGTCCCAGGACCTCCGCCTCCACCCCATGGGTCAGAGCAGCCTGAACCCTGTGCGCGCTCCAGGGAGGGGACCCGGTGTGCGATGCGCGGGGGCTGGGCTAGCAAGGGCAGTGGCGCGAGCGGGACGCAGGATACAAAGCCCGGAGCCACGAGGCTGGCGGCGGGGCGGGGGCCGGAGCGATGAATGGGCACGGCCGGGCCAATCCAAGCGCAGCATTTGCAGCCGCGAGAGAGGGAGCCAATCGGATCCCCGGGGCGGTGGCGGTGGCGGGGGCGGGGACGGAACCAATCAGCTGTGAGGACGGGGCCGGGGGCGGAGCCGCGCAGAGTTTCAAATCGGCTGCGGTGGGCGAGGAGCAGCTGTGCTGCGGCTGTGCTCGGCCTTAGTGGTGTCGGGTGAGTGCGGGCTGGGCACAAGTTTCGCCCTTGTTGCCCAGGCTGGAGTGCAATGGCGCGATCTGGACTCAAAACAATTTTTTTGTTCGGAGGGGAGGGCATCAGGTTCTGTTCACAGGGGAGGGCATCAGGTTCGGACACGCACGGCCTGTGGGGTCGTCTGGGTACCACAAGAAGTCGGATCGAAATCGGGGCGTCTGGTGGGAAGGCCGGGGTCTGGGCGGGTGCGCGTTTGGTCTGGGCGAGCTGGTGAAGAAGATGGTGATCGTGTCCTGGGCCCAGCGCTGAAGCTCGGCTACGGCGTGTCTTGACCCTGCCTCCCCTCCTCGCCTGAGCCAGAGAGAGGAAGGAGGTTGGGATGAAAAGACAGCTGTTTTGGAAACTTGAAGGGCGGGACATCAGAAATGCTGCTGACCCGAGGCCCCTCTTCCAGGAAGCATCCTCCTTCCTGCACCCACACTTACCAACTCGCCCGCCCCCGCCACCCCGCTGCATCCCGTCTCTTCCCCTGTGTCCAGGGTCTCTGTGGGGCCTGGGAATGGGTATGGGGAATGCCTTGCTGATCTGCCTTTCGCCCTCCTCCCCAGGGTCTAGTGGACAGAGAAGACTCTTGGCCAGGCAGATGGCTTCTCGGTGGCAGAACATGGGGACCTCCGTGCGCCGGAGATCTCTCCAGCACCAGGAGCAGCTGGAGGACAGCAAGGAGCTGCAGCCTGTGGTCAGCCATCAGGAGACCTCTGTAGGGGCCCTGGGGTCCCTGTGCAGACAGTTCCAAAGGAGGCTGCCCCTGAGAGCCGTCAACCTCAACCTCCGCGCAGGGCCCTCCTGGAAACGCCTGGAAACCCCAGAGCCAGGTCAGCAGGGCCTCCAGGCTGCAGCTCGCTCAGCTAAGAGTGCTTTGGGTGCCGTGTCCCAGGTAATACTGACAACACTAATCATCTTTTTTATGGAGTGTTTCCTTGGTGCCAGGCAGTTCCTGCCCTCAAAGAGCCTCAAGAATATAGACTTCATGAAAACAGGGACGTTGGTTAGTTCACTGCTGTTTCCCCACCACCCCAGATAGTTCCTGGCACATATAGGTGCTCAACAAATAGTTGAATGAGTGAATGAAAGCATGTCTTGGAGGAAACAGATGCTCACAATACCAGGTGATAAGAGCTGTACGTGATAGGAAATTGCAAAGCAAGTGACCAATAGTGAGGCTCACCAAATGCAAGCTTAGTCGGTGAAGGCTTCCCAGAGGAGGTGATTCCAGAGTTCACCCAGGGAAGCAAAGGTCAAGGGGTATTTAGGGTAGGGGAAATAGTGCAAGTCCAGGCCTAGAGCTGAGGGAAAGCAAGGTGTACTGCCCACTCAGCTGTGTATCCCTGAGGAGAGCCAGAATTGTAGTCTGGGTATGAACAGATGACAGAGAGCAAGGTAGAGCAGGGGGAAAGGATATGAAGGAGCTTAGAACTCTCCCAGGAATGATCAGGAGTCCGGAAGATTCTAAACAGTGGAAAGTCTGGTCTAATTAGCATATTAGAATTTGCCCTTTAGCTACATGATGGAGAAGGGAATAGAGGCAGAGATGCTCCTGATGGAGACTAAGGGTTTGGACTTGCAGGGGATAAACTTCAGGAGCTGCCGAGAAGGTCCAGTTAGAGGGGATTTGCTGTCAAATGAGAGCTGCTGTCAGGAAGACGTCCTTATATTGGATGTAAGTGTCTGTGGACCCTTCAAGGGATGCATCTTTAAACCCAGAGCTGGAGGTGTAGACGTGTCACTTAGAAAGGACAGAAGCCATTAGGATGAACAGACCTCCAGGGAGAGGATTGGGGGCTGCAGAGGCTTCTCCTCGGTGTCTCATTGGGAATTCTGAAGATGAAAGAATTCTCCAGAAAGTGGGTGGCTCTTTCTGGACCCTCTGCAGAGAGCTCTCTGAGCCAAATGTTAGTCCTTATTTGGAAGCACTTTTTGATTGTTTTCACCACCCTCAGGGATCAGAGAAATGAAATGAATTTGTCCAAGGTCACATAACTCATCAAATTTAACTTGGGCTTCGCTCCAAACACTGGGCTCTGGCTTGTCAAGGCAAAGACAGTCTAGCTGATGAAGAAGAGCCTTCACGGCTGTCACCCGGCTGGTGTGAAAGGCCCAAGAGTTGGGGCTTGGTCCTATGGGCAACAAGAAGCCACAGAAGAGTTTTGAGCAGTTGAGTGTCACGGTCAGAACTGCCCTTTAGAAGGATCACTATGGACCACTGTGGAGGGTGGATAGAGTGAGTGAGACCCGAGGCAAGAAGACAGGTGCTCTCTTGGTGTACAGGGGGTGCTGGGCGGGGTGGCCTGTTCTTTTGGGGCCCTCTCCTTCAGTCCTGGGGTCACCGTCTGTCTGGAAAGAGAGTTTGGACTTAGACAAACAGGCTCCAGGCACCAGGGGGGTCCTCCTGCGGCTGACTGCTGCTGTCATATCCAAGAGCTCTGAGCTGGGTCCCAGCCGTGGACTCATTCCATGAGGAGTCATTCACATCCTTCACCCTGGAGACTAACAATAGCCTGTATTTACAGGACACTTGCTGAGTGTAGGGGTTGCTTGTATGGTCTGGAGACCAAGGTAGCTCACCCTTGGTTTTTTTTTTTGTTGTTGTTTGTTTGTTTTCGAGACAGGGTCTCACTCTGTCGCCCAGGCTGGAGTGCCATGGTGCGATCTCGGCTCACTGCAACCTCCGCCTCCCGGGTTCAAGCGACTCTCATGCCTCAGCCACCCAAGTAGCTGGGATTACAGGCACCCGCCACCGCGCCTGGCTAATTTTTTTTTGCATTTTTAGTAGAAATGGGGTTACACCATGTTGGCCAGGCTGGTCTCAAAATCCTGACCTCAGGTGATCTGCCTGCCTCGGCCTCCCAAAGTACTGGGATTATAGGCGTGAGCCACCGCGCCCGGCCTAACTTTTGGTTTTGTCTGTGCTAACCTTTCCATTTGCCTGTTCCAGAGAATCCAGGAGTCCTGCCAAAGTGGCACCAAGTGGCTGGTGGAGACCCAGGTGAAGGCCAGGAGGCGGAAGAGAGGAGCACAGAAGGGCAGTGGATCCCCAACTCACAGCCTGAGCCAGAAGAGCACCCGGCTGTCTGGAGCCGCCCCTGCCCACTCAGCCGCAGACCCCTGGGAGAAGGAGCATCACCGCCTCTCTGTCCGGATGGGCTCACATGCCCACCCATTACGGCGATCAAGGCGGGAGGCTGCCTTCCGGAGCCCCTACTCCTCAACAGAGCCCCTCTGCTCTCCCAGGCAAGTGGGATAGTGCTTCACCCCGGGGCTGGTGGCCTTTTAACCTGGGCACAATCCCTGCTGTCTGACCTCCCAGACACCAACTGGGCCCTAGGGGTTTCTTGGCACCCCCTGTGGCTACCTGGAGCCAGGGGCACCCTGAGCAGCGTCATATTGTATTATTATTATTCTTACTGTTAAATGTGTGTCCTGCTTTAGCAGATATCCAGTGCATGTATTTGCTCATCAGAAAATGAGAAAACAGGCTGGGCGCAGTGGCTCACACCTGTAATCCCAGCACTTTGGGAGGCCGAGGCGGGTGGATCACCTGAGGTCAGGAGTTGGAGACCAGTCTGGCCAACATGGTGAAACCTCATCTCTACTAAAAATACAAAATTGGCTGGGCGTGGTGGTGCACGCCTGTAATCCCAGCTCCTTGGGAGGTTGAGGCAGGAGAATCGCTTGAACTCGGGAGGTGGAAGTTGCATTGAGCTGAGATCGCGCCACTGCACTCCAGCCAGGGCCACAGAGCCAGACCCTGTCTCAAAAAAAAAAAAAAAAAAAAGAGAGAGAGAAAGAAAACAAAACAACAACTAGATTCCTAAGGATTGTATTTCAACTTTCCGGCTGAGTTCTAGGGGGAAATGGAGTGTGTTAGTTAAGGCTGCATAGTAGCTTAGGGCTGTTGAATTTTTCCCCAGATTTCTTTGAGGGCTAGCATCTTTCTTTAGCCTAATAGGAACTTTGAGCTGTAATTAAGGCAGGCTCTGTTTGTCCCATTTGACAGGTAAGGAAACGGAGGTCCGGAGGGGTTTGGTGATTAGCCTGAGGGTCATCCTGTAAGAAATAGAGGAGTAAAGGCTGGGGTCCAGATCATCTGGATGTTCTGCCCCACCGATCAAGCTGGCCTGCCTTGCAGAATCTTCTAGTTCTCAGACAGGCCCAGAAAGTGGCCTGGCTCAGGGCAGGGGGTGAAGCTCATCCCAATCGGCAGTCCCTGGCAGTTTCCTGGTCCCATCTCGGAGCTCTCAGGGAAGGCTGCCTAGCCGCTGCACCTGTGTTGTGGCAGGTAGTCACCAGGATGCATGTAAGTGACCAGGTGGCTCTTTGCAAACCTGTAAGCTAAAATAAGGCTTGTGTACACTTCAAAAATACTCTCCACATCTGTATTCTGACCCGGTTCCGCGTCCAGAGCCAGCAGGGGACCTGAGAAAATCCTTTAGGACCTTAGTTTCTCTGTCCGTAAAGGAAGAGCTGAGTTTAGTTCTGACACAATCACACTCACCCAAGCCTCCTAGTGAGCCCAGAAGCAAGTTTTGAAGCCACCTGGAGAGCTGAGGCTCAGTTTCCAAGTGGGGAAGCTGCAAAATCACTTGCCCGTGACCTTGGCCTCGTGGATCTTGATCTTCTCTCTGTTTGTCGCTCTGAGGTCACCTCCTGGAGTGAGGGTCTGGAGTGAAGCCCAGCCCGCCAGGGTCATCTGGGCCCACAGACCACACCCCGGTACCGGGTTGCAAGGGTCTCCTGCCGGGAGTTTCCAACTAGTCACTGGTGTGGCTTTTTCTTTCATGCAGCGAGTCTGACAGTGACCTAGAGCCTGTGGGGGCGGGAATTCAGCATCTCCAGAAGCTGTCCCAAGAGCTAGATGAAGCCATTATGGCGGAAGAGAGGTGAGTTGGCATCCCATGCTTCAAAGTGAAGGGGCCGGGAGGGCCCCTCCAGCCATCTTTGTAGGCAGGCGTTGGTTCTGCTCTGACCTGCTGTGTGACCCTGGCCAGTCTCTGCCCCTCTCTGGGCCTCAGTCTCCCTCATCTCAAACATGAGAAAGGACAAAATCCTGGACTGGGGTGATGGTAAAGGATGTAGCCTGAATGTGTGTGGTCTTCTGGGCCTTGGGACCCCATGTTTGTCCATCACTTGGAACCTCACGTGTGGCTGGTTCCTGAAAAACCTGCCCTTCCTCCAGAACTCTCCGTGGCTCGTCTGTGCCCTGCCTGCCTATGGAATTGGGAAAAGCAACCTGACTGCTATGGAGTTCCTGGTCTGTCTGCTCATGGCCCCATCCTGGGGGCAGGGCCTCGGTTGTGGACCTCCCCTAACTTGGGGCTGTTTCCCCATTCCACTTGTATAATGGCCATGATGGGCTCTAAGGCTGGGCCCTGCCAGCTCTATGTGTTGAGGGGCCATATTCCTACCACATTTCCGGGTCTGATCTTGTGTAGCTCAGGCTGGGAGGGCCCTCTCAGAGCCCACCACACCCAGTGGCATCAATCCCTCCCCTTCTCTCTAGTGGTGACATCGTCTCTCTCATTCATGACTGAGGAAGTGCCTGCAGGTAATGCCCACCTCCCAAGAGTCTTTCTCACTGTCCTTCTCCTCCATCTCATGCATGAGCAAGTTAAAGAAAAAGCCCACAGAGCTGATGGGCACAGCAGAGTAGGTAGTACCTACTTGCCGCTTGAAGCCAGAGCTGCTAACCTCACTGACCCCGTCATTAACAGCACGCTGGGGGCCCCAAGTAGCTACAGCCACCTTCCAGCACCCCCCACCCCGCAGTGAGCAGGGAAAGGCATCCCTACTTCTCCTACCTTGAGCACAGTGAAAAAGGCAGCTCTGTCTTGAAGGAAACAAGCCCTGTCTGACCGCCAAGGCTTCATACTCAAGGATGTCTATGCTTCCCCGTGAGCTTCCTGGAAAAAACCCCCGGGAGTCGTCAGTACCCCTGGGCCACTGCTAACAAGCACCTAACAAGGGGCCCAGAGCCCCCTGCTCCAGCCACATCTGGACCCATCAGTGACTGCCTGCCATAGCCTGAGAGTGTCTTGGGGAGACCTTGCAGAGGGGGAGAATTGTTCCTTCTGCTTTCCTAGGGGACTCTTGAGCTTAGAAACTCATCGTACACTTGACCTTGAGCCTTCTATTTGCCTCATCTATAACATGAAGTGCTAGCATCAGATATTTGAGAGCTCTTAGCTCTGTACCCGGGTGCCTGGTTTTTGGGGAGTCATCCGCAGAGTCACTCACCCACTGTGTTTCTGGTGCCAAGGCTCTTGAGGGCCCCACTCTCATCCCTCCTTTCCCTACCAGGGACTCGGAGGAAGGCATAGGAGATATTTCCAGGCTTACGACCCTGGGCTCACGGGTACCTATTTATATGCTCAGTGCAGAGCACTGTGGATGTGCCAGGAGGGGTAGCCCTGTTCAAGAGCAATTTCTGCCCTTTGTAAATTATTTAAGAAACCTGCTTTGTCATTTTATTAGAAAGAAACCAGCGTGTGACTTTCCTAGATAACACTGCTTTCTCATAATAAAGACTATTTGCATTTGACATCTGTTCCCTTTCACCGGCAACCTCCAACCTCCCCCGCCCTCCCACACCACTCTGGGCTATAGATTTGTAATTTGTGGTTTGGGGTCTGGCCCTCATCCACCTCTGCTCCGAGCCAGTCTGCCCCCAATCCCACCCCAGGGAGAACATGTAGAAAGGGAAAGGTTTCTCAACTTAGTTCAGACCAAAACACATTGTAAAGGCAAAGAAGGTTTTTATTTAAGTGACAACATTTGAGAGCTAAAAACCAGCTCACATCAAAATCAAGACCCAGTTGTAAAAATCTTTTAACTCCATAATGCTGTTTTTGTCTTGTTAGAAATCTGATATCTTACATTAGCGTTTCTAACGGATTTTGTACAAGGCAGCCATAAGGAATATAATAAACCTTTTTCACCACAGAACCATCTGTCACAGATAATACTGAAAGTTACACACTTAGGAACAGTCAGACCACAGACAAGGTCAGACTGGCTGCCACCACCAAGTAAACAACTAGAAAAGGACAGCGGGGTCCAAGGGTGGGGGTCCCTGTGCACGAGTCGCCCTCCTCTGGCCTGCCCCCCCTCGGGTCACCTGTTTCTCCTTTGCCCCAAAGAGGGTGGAGTCAAATGCAGATTTTCCTCCCAACTGCCTGTTAGTGTCTCAACAAGGAGAGCAGAGCCCAGGTCAGGCCTCACTGCTTGGACTTAACCCTAACTATGATTTTTACGAAGGTTTCCCCCAAGCCCGGAAGGAAAGGAAGGAGGGAATGTTTCTTTTGGCTGAGCCAAAAGACAATAGGTTTCCAGGGCACTTGGCACCCAAACCCCCCCCCCCCGCCCGCCGATGGGATTCGGTGGGAAAGTTGGTTGTTTAAGGCGGGGTCAGGGCACCCCTCCCGGGGCTGCACCTGGGCTAGGGGGGAGAGTGAGGATGCAGAGGACCCACGTGCCTCATGAAAGACTCCAGGGCACAGGTATGGGTCCCAAAGGGGTAAAAATACAGTTTAAAAACCGTGAGATCCAGCCTCGCCTCTTCTAGACAGCCCACCGCCAGGAATCTCTGGAATACTGGGATTCAAACACATTTGTTTGCTGTAGCCCAGCACCCAGACAAGAGGGCCGTTCATCCCAATGCATGAAAGGAGTCTGCTTTTTTAAAAAAGAAATATTTTATGGAGCCCAAGGGAGCCGTTGAGATCTTTAGGAAAAAACCCATGATGCTGGAAGAGCAGGTCCTGGGCTAAGGATGCACCCTGAACCCCAACAGGGCAAATGATAAAGGAAGGTGGCAGGCAGGCCCTCGGCTACGACAGCCACCGGATCGGGAAGAACAAACATGCCACGCAAGAAACAAGGAGCTTTGGTCAGGCAGGAAGATCTGTTTCCAGCTGCTGGAGAGCAGGCATACCAGAAGCTAGAAGGATTCTCTACAAAACAGCTGGATTGGGGGTCACAGAACTACTCAAGGAGAGGCAGCAGCACCCCCTCCAGAGAACAACACAACTTGGTTCTTTCTCCAACTTAACCGGACAGACAAAACTGAGCAAACCGCTAGTGTAGAAAGAGCATATGCATTACACAGTTGCCGTGAAAGCAGTACTGAAACATACCTTGTCTCGCCACTAAACAGAACCGCAGGTACACACTCACACACGCCAACTACAGCTCCAGTTGTTGCGTTCACAATATCTCACCGTACACCATCAGCATCTTGTGTGTGCATCATCAGCCAAAGCCCCGATCCTCCTACCTGATTGCTGCTTGGAACCAGAGCTGTTTCCAAAAGGAAGGGGTGGTGGCCCTCCTGCTGGGTCCTGTGTCCCAGCTCTGACCCCAGAGCCACAGAACCCTGGTCACACTGACTTCAAATTCCCCAGGGATCCTGGCTCATGAGCTCTCTCTCTCTCTTCCTCTCTCTCTCTCTCTTCCTCTCTCTCTCTCTCTGTCTTCCTTTCTCTCTCTCTCTCTCTCTCTGCCTTCCTGTCTTTCTTTCTCCCTCTCTCTCTCTGCCTTCCTCTCTCTGTCTTCCTTTCTTTCCTCTGTCTTCCTTTCTTTCTCTCTCTCTTTCTCTCTCCCTCTCTCTCTCTCTCTCTCCCTCTCTCTCTTTCTCTCTCCCTCTCCCTCTCTCGCCTAGCCTGGGGTTCTCAGGGAAGAGGGAATGTAACTGGGAGCAAAGTACCCCATACTAATTATTTTATCATTTTAGTGTAACCAGTGCCTTCTGCAAGAAGGAGATGGTAGAGTTTTCAAGAATCAGACTAAGTCTGCCCAAGTTTAAATCAGGATATTTGGGGGAAGGATTAGGGTTGGGGTGGCTATGCCATATGAGCTGGTGCCTTTGGAAAGCCAAGAACTGTGAAATGTTAAAGGGGGGATGGGCACCTGTGAACCGCCAGGAGACAGGACCATAGAGGAGGCTGAGGCTGAGGCTGAGGCTGAGCCTGATCCGCACTCCTCCCCATAGACTCGCCAGCAGCCCTGGGCTTGAGTGCAGGATGCAGCACTGGAAGTAGAGCAGAAGAGCTGGCAGACTGAAGACACATTTCTAGTGGGGAGAGCAGGGATGGGGGTTAGGAGCCCAGACCCCTCCAGCCCCAGGAGGGCACCCAATTTGCCAGGCAATTCACAACGGCGGTGCCAGCCGCCCCCACCAGCAGCGTCACTGGCTGCATGGGAGCCGCGAGAGGTAGACATTGAGCAGAAGCGACACTGAGCTGACACAGGTGCCTGCTGTGTATACAGACGTCTGGGCCCTGGGGCAGCCTGGCTGAAATTGCTGGGACCGGCCTTGATGGCAGCCTATGGGGGCTCAGTGGCCACGTGGGCAGCCCCACACAGCAGGTGTGGGCCTGGGCCAGGGAGTCGGGGTTTTCCAGGATGCAGGAAAGCAGTGCCCAGGCCAAGGTTCAGCAGCAGGAGGGCCTGAGCAGGCTTTAGGGGCCCCAGAAGGGCCAAGTCCTGCCAACCTCAGGGGACTACCCAGGAGGAGGTTATGGGCACAAACTGAGCAGCAGGGGAAAGGGAAGAGAATACAACAGTTGGAGCCAAACTTCCAGGAACCCCTAGAACCCTGGAATCTCAGCTCTATGCCTCTGGGAGCCAAAAAGGATAAAAGGGTCCTGGCAGAGCTGGGGTTATGGGGAGCCCAATCAGTAACCTTTTGGCAGGAGAGGGAGGTGGGTTGTCCCTAGGACACCCAGTTTGAGTGGGTTGTCCCTGGGACACGCAGTGCAAGGCAAACCAGCTGCACCTCTCCGTGGAGTAGGGATCCCTTCCCAGCCCACCCAGAGAGGCTCCTTTAAGAGCCCCTCCTTTCCAGCCCACCCAGACCCCCTCTCCCAGGCTGTGTGAAAGGTGTGGGTCACAGGACACTCGGAGGGACCCTTAGGCCTGAAGAGCCTCAATGGGCCAAACTGCAGGACATCTTGGGAGTCAAAGACTCACACCAATCTCAGCTAGGGGGACCCCTCCAATAACAGAAGGAAGACGGAGCCCAGAGAGGGCAAGCAACCAGCTCAGGGGCTCACAGCCAGCCCAGCTGAGCCAGAGCCCAAGGCTGCAGCCTCCCAAGGGAGGGCATGAGGCAGGGCTCCGGGAAGAGGAAGCCCTGGCCTCCAGGGCCACAGGGAAATGGTGAGGACACTGAGGACAACGGGGGTTGGGGACAATGGACAGCTGCAGGACAGACCGTCAGCACCAGACCCCACCCCCGAGGGCTGTGGACAGAGACGGCGTAACATGAGCCCGGGGATGTGCTCTCACTCCCAGAAAGTGGCCATCTTGCCATAAGAGCGCCAACCCCAAAATGGTGACCCAAACCACAGGAAGGGCGGGCACAAATGCCACTCACACCTCCACAAGACAGCCCAGAGGCTGTGCCTGCCAGCGGCGCTTGGTGCCGAGGCTGGGGCTGCCCCCTTGAGGGCCTGCCTAGCTCGCTGTGAAGCCTGGGGACGCAGGAGGGTGGTCGACTTTGCCCAAACGCTTCAGCCCCGGGCAAGCCTGCCCCCAGGATGACACAAACATGAACCCTGACTTGGGCTTGCGGTCGCAGGCCCGTGGGAGGCAGCAGTGGCTGCACCGAGATCCCCGGACCTCACCCCGTCGCAGCTCAGGGAGCCCCCCGGGCTCGGGCAGGATCCCTCCCCGCTCTGGTCGGACACTGCTGGACAGACACGGGAGGGAAAAAGCAGGAAAACGCCTGTGTCGGGGAGAGGGCAGCCCCCTCCCGTCCCCGCAGGCAGCCTGATTGGGCCCCCCGCTCCCTGCTCTGAGCACAGCCCACCCCTCAGGGCACCGACTCGAACTTGGGGGGCCCACGCGCCCAGCTGAGCGCCGGCAGCGGCCGCTCGTGGTCTTTGTCCGACTCGGGCTGGCTCTGGGCCCGCTCGGGCTTGGGGTTGGCGGCGGGCGGGTCGGGCTGCTGCACTGACATGGTTCTGCGCAGGTGGTTGCGCTTCCGCAGGAACTCTGGCTGCGCGTGCAGCCCGAAGCTGCCCTTGCGCAGGATCATGCGCGAGTTGTTCTTCTTTGGGCGTGAGCGGTGGCTGGCCTCCAGCGCGGCCAGGTGTGCGGCGTAGCCCTCGCTCAGGAACTGCGGAGGGCAGGGGAGGGCAGGGGAGGGCAGGGCAGGGCAGCAGCGCAGGGGGAAGAAGGGAGGGGAGGGGGAAGAGGGGAGGGGAGGGGAGGGGAGGGAGAAGAAGGGAAGCGGAAGAAGGGAAGGGAGAGGAGGGGAGGGGAAGGGACAGGCATCAGGCGGAGGGGTGGGGCAGGCCCCTTATCCTGATCCTGTCCCCATCATTTCCCGGGAACACTCTACGGAGGCACCTCCAGCTTCTCCAAGGAACCCTGGGGAAGTCGGGAGCTCTTTACTGTTCCAGGGTCCCCATCCTGCTTTGGACAACCATGCATCTCTACCTGTACCCATGGGTCACACCAGAGTTCTCTGGATTTTCTTTCCTATTTTATTTTAATTAATTAATTTATTTATTTGAGAAAGGGTCTCGCTGTGTCGCCCAGGCTGGAGTGCAGTAGCCCAGTCTCAGCTCACCGCAGTCTCAACTTCGCCAGCTCAAGCAATACTCCAGCCTCAGCCTCCCGAGTAACTGGGACCACGGGTACATGCCACCATGCCCAGCTCATTTTTTAAATTTTTTGTAGAAACAGCGTCTTGCTATGTTGCCAGGGCTGGCCTTGAACCCTGGGCTCAAGCAATCCTGCGTATCAAAGCACCAGGATTACAGGCATGAGCCAGGGTGCTTGGCCTCTGGATTCTTGAGGGTGGGGAAGCGCCCATCCTTGTCACTTGGCTCACTAGAATCCTGCAAAGTCCCTCCCGTCACGCAGCCTCACCATGCCTCTTGTCATTTTTCTGAGCCCTGCGACTGCCCTCCTTGCCAGTCCTTCTGGCTGTGTCCAGAGCCTTGCTACTCAATATGTGGTCCATGGACTCTGGCAGCATCAACACCACCTGGCACCTTGTCAGGCAGAACTTCCGGCCCTCTCCCCGCCCCTAGGCCTATGGAATCAGAATATGCATGTCAACAAGATCTCCAGGTGATGCTTGTGCACTTCAGAGTTTGAGAAGCAGGGCCTCTGAGTTCCCAACTGGGAGACGCCACCATCTCCTGACCCTCTACCCGCGGGTCACTCTCAGGCATTGCACACTTGACATGCCCCAGAGGGAGGTCAACTCCTTCCCTTCCACCTGCTGCGCGATTCCAATAGTGGCACCTCCTACGTGGTCACCCAAGCCACAGACCAAGTAGCTGTCCTCCACCTTCCCTTTCTCTCATCCTGCACATCTGATCTGGGCATTACCAAACCCAATCCATCCCCTACCAAAAAATGCCTCTCAGACCCTCCACTTTCTCTTCAATGTCCTCTCGGCTTTTCTTTCCTTCCTCTGAACCACCTGCCACCTGCAGCCTGAGGGAGCTTCCTGAATCACACACCTGCTCATCCCACACCCTCTCAGAGTCCCCACACAGGCCATCTTGGCCGCACTGACCGTTCTAGCCCCGCCCCCCCACCTCCCAGCTCACGTCCCATGCAGCCAAGCTGAGTCACTGGCAGTTCCCAGAATATACATGTTCTGTGTCACCTCCTGACCTTGGCTTTTGCTGCTGCCTCTGTCACAAATATTCTTCTCAATCTCAGGCCCTTCCTGGACCATTCCTTCAAATTCCGGAAACCCAACCTTGCCCTGGAGTCTGGGTTAGCGGTCCCTCTCCAGGGCCCCACAGTTCCCTGTGCTCCCGTCATACATCATGGCACTTGTTACACTCCACTGTCACCAACTGCAAATGTGTCCATCTCGCCACTACACTGAAGTTCATTGCATCTGGCTCCACTTGGGATTCTCCCCCTGCACCCAACACAGGCCCTGGCCCAAGGCAGGCACCCCGAAGTGTTTGTTGAATAAATGAATGAGCAAATGGGGGAATGAACAAATGAATGAATGAATGAATGAAGTGCTTACTCCCTCTATCCCTTTCCCTGACCTCCCTCACAACTCCCCGCCTCCAGCCCCGCCTCCACCCACCTGGCACTGGGTTTGGTACTTCTTGGTGGGCCGGCCCACAATGAAGATCTGGGAGGCAGGCAGGCCCAGCACGCTGTAGACAGAGATGTCCTTCGTGGAGCCATAGGCCGCACTGATTTTGATGAAGCACTGAAACACAGGGCAGGCATAGGGGGAGAGTGAGGCCAGCCCACCCCCTGGAAAGCCTTCCCAGGCCAACCCCAGGGGGCCCCTGCTTGGGGACCCTTTATGTGCACTCTGGTAGACTCCAAGCCATGGGGCCACCCTGTGTCAGGAATGAACCCTCAGAGTGGCTGCCCCTCCCTGCACCCCAGGCCCAACCCAGGTCTCTGCCCAGTAAACAGTCGTGACCACACCATTTACCGGCCCCGCCTCCAACAGCAGTACACTCAGGTTAAGTAATAATGAAGGCAAGCGTTCCTTTGTGGATAAGGAAATTGAGTTCCAGGTTTCTGGCTCACAGGGCCAGGACTGGAGGCCAGTTCTGCCTGGCTCCTGATCCTGTGCTGTCCACACCGCTCCACACTGCAGCTTGCCATGTGCCCACTGCCTCTCACTGGCTGGTGTGATGACCGCCCCCCTCCCCAACCCCAGAATCCCCAATTCAATTCAGAGAACTGCACAAGGTCCGTCTTGCTCCAGGGGCACTTCCAGACCATCACCCTTCCCTCCCCTCCCCAGGATAAACCCGATCAAACTACCTCCTCCTGTGAGGTGCTCGCCACCCAGCTGCCCCTCACTGTGTGCCTCCTGTCACTGTCATCTTCTTTTTCTCCCACTCACACTCCTCTCAAGCCATTGGAGACTTTGGTCCTGGGTCACAAGCTTTCCTTCCTGCCAAGCCCCACCATCACTGGGATGACCCACGGTCTGCATGACGTGAAGGATCTACCACCTCCCACCCGGCCTGGCAGCTTCGCACCTTCTTTCACGTCAGTGGCCGTCACTTCCAGGACCAAACTCAGAACCTGCCCCTCTAACTGTGAACTTCCACATGTCCGCTCCGCTCAGGGCTTCTGCCCCCTCCCCACCACTTCTCCGCCAGCCCCCACCTGGCTGCTCTCAGCCTTACTGACACTTGTCTTTTCTGCACCAGCCCTGCTGCCTCGCCCCTTCCTCATCCTGCCTGAGTGACCCATGGCATCCCTGTGTCCTTGCCTCCACCCCGGATTCTCTCACCCCTTCATCCTCCTCCCACACCTGCCCGGCCAAATCTCAGCCCTGGAAATTTTTTCCACTATCCACCTTGTGTTTTTGTACATGCTGCCCACCGAGAGCTGCTAAAGAAACAGAGCCACGCAGCTCTCACCTTCCATCTTCTTCCTGTCCTTCCCTGAGCCCTACCCCATCCTGCAGGTGACTGCCTTCGATGCTGGACCAAGGAGAGGGCTTCCTCAGCCCACTGCCCCTCACCTCAATGGTTGGTTTATTCCCAACTGGCCTTTGGCTCAGAGGATGGAGCAGCCCCTCTTCGTCTGGCCCTTCCACCTTCTCATTCACCTGAGCTCACTCCTATAACTTGGATCCTCCAGCTCTGGCGACCCTGCCTACCTGCCTCATGACCCTCCCAGCTGACACCCACTTTCTCTGCTCCTCTCCCTGCTACTTTTGCCCCCTTGTCCTTCCGAACTGTCTTTTCCTCACAAGGTCATCTGGTGGCCAGTCTTTGTCTACTAGGCAGTTCTCAGCATCCCACACCCTCGGCAAAAGGGGCGCTATCTCCTTGAAGCCCTCTCCTCCCGATACCTGGAGTCTCGTCTCTCTCTCCTGGTCCTCCTCCCCCTCACTCTCCTCCTGGTTCCTCAGCTGCTCCTTGTGCTGCTCTCAGTGGCCCAGCACAGCCTCTTCTAACGCCTCATCTCCCGTCTCATGGCTCCACTGATCCGTCTCATGCATCTGTTTCCCAGTCTCCACCTGCAGCCCAGAACTACCCTAAGCCATATCAGGTCCCGTGGCTGTATCAGCCTTGACATGTCCACAGCTGAGCTCATCTCCCTCCAGCCTGGTCCTCCTCTCATGTCCCCTCTCATTCACTCACTCATTCATTTATTCATTCTACCAACATTTATGGAGTCCCTACCATGTGGCATCATCACCCCCAATGCAGAAGCTATATTGGTGAGCAGAACGGACAGGCTCTGCCTCCATGGAGACCTTGGTCAGGTGTGTAGCACCTGGATCCCTCCTGGTCACCCAGCACGGGCATCTTAGAACTCCTCGCTCCCTGCATCCAACCATCCCTGAGCCCCGACTATTCCACCTCCTAATCCTGTCCATGTTTTTCTCTCCATCCCATACCCATCATCGCCTGGATTATGGTCTTCCTGTCTTTTGCTTGGGCAACAGCCCCCTAACTGGCCTCCCTGCCTCCAGTTTCTCCTGCCAATCTGTTCTCCACACAGCCACCAATGGGATCTTTCTATAAGCCAAATTAGACACTGCCACTTCCCTGCTTTAAACTCCTCCATGGCTCCCCGTGACCCTCAGCAGAGAATTTATGATCTTGGCCTGGTTTCCAAGGTTTTCAAGATTTGCCAAGTTTGGGCCCCTGATGACCTCTGAGGGCTCAGCTCCCACTTGTCCTGGGTTTAACCCTGCCTGCACTTATCCCAAGCCTGGAACGTCCCAAGCTCTCTCCTGCCTCCGTGCCTTTGCACATGCTGTTTCACTGTCTACCTGACAAATTCATGCTTCAAGACTCAGCTCAAAAGTTACCACCTCCTAGCAGCCTTCCCTGCCCTCCCTGGACAAACTGAAGTCCTTTCTCCTCTGTTTGCTAAAAGGGCCTTTTTCAACCACACACCAGTAGTTGTCAATTGACATGTCCTTCCTCCTCTAGATCAGGGATTTGCAGACTTTTTCTTTGAAAGGCCAGATAGTAAATATATCAGGCTTCGCACTGTGTCACCACTACTCAATTCTGCTGTTGTATTGCAAAAGCAATCATAGACAATACGTAGACAGATGAGCTTGGCTGTGTTCCAATCAAACTTTTTTTATTTAGAGACATTGAAATTCATGTAATTTGCATGTCATGAAATATCATTCTTTTGATTATTCTCTCCATCCATTTGAAAGTGTAAAAACCATTCTTAGCTGACCAGTCATATCAAAACAGGCTGTGGGCTGGGTTTGGTCATTATATGTCAACGCCTCTTCTGCTCTAGGTCAGGGATTCTTGATTAATCTTTCTGTGCATCAGAATCCCCTGGAGGGCTTGTGAAAAGGTTCCTGAGCCCCTCCCCAGAGTTTCTGATTGAGTAGGTCTAAGAGGGTGGCAGGAGGAGGCAGGGCAGATAATTTGCACTTCTCCCGAGTTTCCGAGTTTCCTGGTGCTGCTAGTGGGAACCATAGCTTCGGTCATGGAAAGCACATCTGGGTCACAGAAAGCACATCCGGGTCACGGAAAGCACATCCTCTGCCCCCCTGGTTCTGTTTGTCTCTGTGCAGCCCCAACAAGCACAGAGTAAGGAACACAATCGGCACTTAAATGTCTATTGGATGAATGGCCAGATGTAGAGACAAGAGTCAGGAGATAAAGGACGAAAGTCTGACTCAGATCTAGGGCAAGTTGCCGGAGCCTCACCTTTCTCCTCTGTCAACGACGAGACTAATAACCTACCTCACAGGGCTGCTAGAGGGCCCATCCAGATCCACGGGAATGGGATTTACAGACTGCACATCACAAGGCCCCACCCGGGAGGAGGGAGATGGGGAGCGGTGGAGAGGAGGGCTGCGCTCTCAAGCCATGGAGTCCCCACCCCAGGATGGCCACTCACCTCCTGCATGAGGTTGCGCAGGAAGATGGCCTTCTGCCGCAGCGGGTCATGCACCAGCCCATCGGAGAAGAAGATCATGCCCTGTGGGAAGTTGTGCTGGGACAGCCACGACACCACCCGCTGCTTCTGCATGTCCGGCCGTCCCGTGATGTAAAGGATCATGTAGCCCAAGTCCTGCCAGTGCCTGGTGAGATGGCATTAGAAGGGTCCAGCCCTGCCCAGTGCAGGCCACCTGATGCCCAGAAGCCTGCCCTGCCCGCAGCTGCCCTCCTGAGACGTCAGAGGGACGAGTCTGAGGCGTGCTAGGGAGAACAAGGGGGACCCCGAATCCCCTCTCTGGGCTGAGCCCTGGACATCTCCCCTGGATCAGGCCTGCAGATGCCACAGGCCCATATCCAAACTCATCTCCTCACCCCTGCCCCTCTGCTCACAGCCACTTCAGAGTCAGAGACAGGCGCCTTTCATTCTTCCCTGTTCCCTGTGCCTCCCTCCCTCCTCCTCCTCCAGGAAGAAAGCCTTTCGCTTTCACCAGGCCAGACTCTTTAACCCCTCCCCCAGCCCTCTCACTTAAGCCTTGCTTCTCATCCTTAGCTCGGGCCCCATCTCTCTCCTGGGCCACTACAAAAGCCTCCTGGGCGGCCTCTTTCCCTCCACCCCTACTCCTACCCACATCTAACCTGAGCCCTGTAACCCTGGGCAGATTACTCAACCCTCCCCAACCTCCCACGGTTTCAGTTTCCCCCTCTGTAAAATGGGCATAATAATATGAACTACCCCACAAGGTTGTCCTAAAGACGAAAGGAGTTAATCCCAAACATGCATAGCAAGGTGGTATGCTTGGTGTGGCTGGCTTTATTATTATCCTCCGCAGTGTTTCCATGGTGATTCCTGTACATCGCAAATCTAACCCCAGCACTCCTCTGTCTAACAGCATCTCCAGCTCCCCAGCGCCCTGAGGTAGAGCCTCAAGTCCTCTCTCTGCCTCTGTGGCCATGTCTCTGCTCTGCCTTTGCATATGGGATCTCTCCAGCCCACCCAGAGCTGCTTTGCTGCCCCCTGAACAAACCCTTGGCTCTTCTGCTGCACAGCACTCCCCTACACAGCCCCTACGGCACCATCTCCTGATATTCCCATCTTCCATCTTTCAAGACCCCCCTTCCTCCAGGAAGCCTTCCCTGCTTCCCAAGCAGAATCAGCCTCTTTCCTCTGTGCTCTCACAGTGCAGTGGGATAGCTCTGGTTGGCTGACTTCACACAGAATCCTGGCTGCAAGATGTCAGGTAAGCCCAGACCTGGTTGGGCACCTTTATGGCACCTGCCACCAGAACCAGCTAATAGAGATGGGGAGTTCTAAAACTGGATGATGATCTGAGGGATCTGGGGATGCTCTACACAAACTCAGGGGTGCAGGGATCACCCCTAGGGATTCTGGTTAGTTCTGATGTGGGGCCCAGTGATGTGTTTATGAAAAGGGGAGTTTCTGATGACTGTCGAGGTTTGGGGAGCACCATGTGGAGCACCATGGGGAGCACCCTGGAGCCCATGGAAGGCAGTGGGAGGATCATGGACCCCCAGAGAGGAAGGACCACAGCCTCCCCTTCCCTGCAGTGGGAGGGGGACTGTGACGCAGGAGGGATTTGTTGTAATGGCAACAAATGACCTAGCTCTACAAGGGGGAGGCTGGCCCCCTGAAATGGGCTTCAGCCTGTCTAGGCCTGTTCTTACGGAGCTGCTGGGCATCTTGAGGCCAGCAGTCTCCCAGGAGCCCAGGAGCCAGGCCCGTCTTCTCTCCCCAAAACCGTCACTGTTACTGGGGTGAGGCAGGGCAGTCTCCAGCCCCCAGGAACTTCCAGTGCCTGGCATCTGTCCTACTCTCGAGGTTCTGATCACTTGGAGTCCTGGGTTACAGTTTCTCATGCCTGTGACTTATTTTCCCCACCAGACTCTGAGTGTCCTCTGACTTAAGAGCTCGCTCTGCATCAGTGCCCAGCACACAGCCCAGCCACAGGGGGCCTCAGAAAGCAGCGGATGCGTGCACGAGTGCAGGGAGGGAGGCAGGGAGGGAAGGAGGGAGGCAGGGAGGGAAGAAGGAAAAAAGGAAGGAATTGAGGGAGGGAGGAAGGAAGTGAGGGAGGGAGGGAGAGAGGAAGAAACAGACAAGCTGAGGTCTAGAAAGCAGGAGAAATTTTCCCAAGGATACTCAATAAATTACTGTTGGAGGTAAAGCCAGGGCTTCTCAGCTCGCAGCCCCAGAGACCGGTAGAATTCCTACAGCAAATCAGAAAAACAACATATTTCCCCCAGGGCTGCTGGCTCCTGCCCCCCAGGGAGATATAGCCCTCGTGGAAGGTGGCACTCACCGGACAACATCCACTGCACCCGGCCGGACCTTGGGGTCGCTTCCCATGATAGACACGCTGGCCGCGAAGGACCCATCAATGCTGAACACTACACACTCCATGCCCCTGGGCAACACCGTGAGGTAGCTCATGGCACAGGTCTGGTCGCCCCTGAAAGAAACCTGCCTGTGGTCAGCCGTGAGGTCAGGGTCAGACGTTAGCCGGAATCCAGAGGTCAGCCTGTAGCTGCAGTCAGAGCTCAGTCTGGGTCAAGGTCAGAGAGCACCTGGGTGGCATCTCCTGATGCCACGGCTGGTGACCTCTCCCATCCACCTCTGTCCATGCAGACAGAGATGGGGGCCCACAAAGAACCCCAAGGACCCCATCCTCTAGACAGGCCTGGCTGGAAGGGCCATAGAAATGAGAGAAACCACCCTGAGAATGGCCCCTGGGTCTTACCTGACGACCATCTTCACAGGATAGACACCAACCCCCAGGCGCCGGGGCCGCGGCACATTGTATGTGATGCGACCACTGCTGTTGGTGATCTCTGTGTCCAGGTGTACCCAGCGGCCTGAGGATGGCTCTGCCATTACTAGGATGTCCACCTGCGGCAGTGAAGGGGGTCAGGGACTCCCTGAAGGCTGAGGGGCTACAGGCTTGGCAGAGGGGCTGGGCGGGGGAACTCTGGGCTGAGGTCCCTGCCTGACATTCCCTGGCTCCTGCCAGCCTGGCTCCTCATTTGTCCTTGGATACTCTGAGCCCATCCTTTCCTCCTTGCTCACCCTTCCCGGCCCGCCCAAGCAGGTGGGTAGCTCCTGGCCCTGTGCTTCCACCCCAGGCAGCTCGGCCCTCTTGACACCCTCACCCCACACGCTATGTGGCTCCATGAGGCACCTGGTGCAGGTGGAGTGGCTGAGGAGGGGAGGCCCAGCCCCAGGTACCTTCTCTCCAGTCAGAGCCACCATGTCGAGGGGCCCGTACATGAACCGCCCCACCAGGACCTGGGGGCCATCTTCAGCAGCAATCACATCATTGGCCCGGTGATTAGCCGTGACATTCTGGAAGGACAGAAAGAAGCTGGCTCAGCCCTTGCAAGGGAGGCTCAACCTTGCTTTATCATTGCAGTGTTCCTCAGACTGGCTGGAGGCATATCAGCTTGCTGAATCATGTCTCTCTACTAACTTCTGCTAGAGTTTCAGAGATGTGTTCCCAGGGAACGTGTGAGAAAAACAGACCGTGAGTCCCCCAAACGCTGTCTTCAAGGTGCACAGGGCTTCCTGCCATTGTACGTTTTCTGCTTTCGTGTTTTTTGTTTGATTGATTGTTTGTTTGTTTTGTTTTTTGTTTTTTGTTTTTGAGAAGGAGTTTTGCTCTTGTTGCCCAGGCTGGAGTGCAATGGCGCAATCTCGGCTCACCGCAACCTCCCGGGTTCAAGCAATTCTCCTGCCTCAGCCTCCTGCGTAGCTGGGATTACAGGCATGCGCCTCCACACCTGGCTAATGTCATATTTTTAGTAGAGATGGGGTTTCTCCGTGTTGATCAGGCTGGTCTCGAACTCCCGACCTCAGGTGATCTGCCTACCTCGGACTCCCAAAGTGCTGGGATTATAGGCATGAGCCACCGTGCCTGGCCCGTTCTCTGTTTTGACTCTGCTCGGCCCTGAGGGGACAACTGGCCTCACAGCCTGTGCTTATCTTCCAGATCCCCGGGCTGGAAACTGCCTGGTCACTTTTGGTTCTTTCTTCTACATCACAGCTCACATCCAACAGTATTTACTATCTGTCTTTTTTTTTAAGATAAAATTTCAAATGCACAAGCATAGAGAGAGAGAAGAGTGTAACAAAGCCTCGTGTTCCCAGCACCTGCTCCACCACTTAGCAACAAACTCGTGGCCATCCTGGTTTCGTTCTTCCCTTGCCCAATTCCCCAGCCTCGGCCCCAGCCCCACCGGGATTATCCTGGAGCAATCCTGGACGCTGCGTCATTTTATCTGTGACTGTCTCAACCTCCCTATTTTTCTTCATTTATCAATGAACTGGTTTCAGTTCATTCTGCAGCCTGTGTTGGCCCTGACCAGCCCCCACTCCCAGCCTGGCCTCCAAGACCCCAGTCTCTCCATCTAGTGACCACTCCTTTACCGCACTGGCCACATCTTCATCTCTCGCACAGCCACATCGCCTGGATGCTGCTAACAGCTCCCTAATGGAGCTCCTTCCTCAAAGGCAGTCCCTGCAACAGATCCTCTGTCTCTATAAAGCACAGCTCTACTAACACCCTCCCGGGCTCCCCACTGCCCTCTGCGTAGAGTCCGGAACCTGAGCTTAGCTTTCCAAGGCTTGCCTGAACGACCTCTTCAGTCTGTCTCCTGCTGCTCCCCATCCACACCTTCTGGTCCTTTCTGCCAGGCTCTGCAGCAGCCTCCAGGCCTTTGCTCACACCGCTGTCCCGCCCCCCACACTGGCTCTAGGTGCCATCCCTGGCCCTGGCCCTCTTCCCCCACATTCCAGCCCATTCGCTATGACTAGACTCAGCGCCATCATCGCCAAGAAACACTCCTCGGACTCCTCAAAGACAGGTTCTCAACCTCCTTTCAATTCCCATGCATTTTAATTCAATCCAACAAATATCTGCAGACACCTCATCTGCATGGGGTCCCTGAGATAAACTAGTCGTGGGCCCTGCCCTGGAGACACTCAGCCAAGTAGGGAACGCAGGCCCCCTTACAGGTGCACTGTCAGGGGAGAGGGAGCAGCTGGTTCATGAATATAAGCACCTGAAAAGATCCGGCATCCCGAGTCATTAGAGAAATGCAATCAAAACCACAATGAAATACCCCGTCACACCCACCGGGATGACTAGAATCAAACAGACAGATAATAACAGGGGTTGCTGAAGATGCGGAGAAATCAGAATCCTCATACATTGCAGTGGGAATGTGAAATGGTACAGTCACTGTGGAAAACAGTCTGGCAGTTCCCTATATGATTAACCATAGAGTTAACATTTGATACAGAAATTGCACTTCTAGGCATCTACCCGAGAGAAATGAAAACACAGGAGAAATGAAAAACACAAAAACTTATACATGGACGTTCATAGCAGCATTATTCATAGTAGCCGAAAGGTGAAAACACCAGCCTGGCCAACATGGCGAAACTCCATCTCTACTAAAAATACAAAAAATAAAATAAAATAAAATAATTAGCCGGGCATGGTGGTGAACACCTGTAATCCCAGCTACTTGGGAGGCTGAGGTAGAAGAATCACTTGAACCAGGGAGGGGAGGTTACAGTGAGTTGAGATTGCACCACTGCACTCCAGCCTGGGCGACAGAACAAGACTCCGTCTCAAAACAAAAAAAAAAAACCAAAAAAAAAAAACAGGTGAAAACAACCCAAAAAATGTCCATCAGGTAGTGAATGGATAAGCAAAACGTAGCATCTCCATACAACGGAATATTATTCAGCCTCAGAAAGGAATTTCTGACACAGCGACCAGTTGGATGAACCTTGAAGACAGTGCGCTAAGTGCAAGAAGCCAGACACAAATGGTCACATATTACATCATTTCATCGAAATGAAATGTCCAGAATAGGCAAATCTGCAGGCACAGAAAGTCGATTACTGATTGCCTGGGGCAAGTGAGGGAGTGTCAGCTAAAGGGTACAGAGCTTCTTTTTGGAGGTTATGAAAAAGCTCTAAAACTGACCATGGTAATGGTTGCACACATCTGTGAATATACTAAAATCCACTGAATTGTACTATCTAAATGGGTAAATTATAGAATATGTGGATTTTATCTCAATAAATATGTTTACCAAAAAAGAGTTGGTTCATGAAGGATTGATCTCCTTCTACCTTTTAGGACTGTTCTTGGGGTCCATGTCTGGTCTTTTCACCAGACTGGAGATGCCTACCATAGCAATGGTTGTGTCTGTACAACCCTGTGCTCCACTCTCTAGCAGAATGACTGAGACAGAGTAGGCACTGATGATCGTTTGTTGAGTGAATAAATAAATCTATGCACCTCAAACTCCTATTCATCCTTCAATACCCCACAGAGGAGCCTCTTCAGAGAAGCCCTGAATGATTTGCCCTTACAATCCTTCTTTCCATCTTTGTCTTAATCTGTACCTTCCTCTATCAAATATCACACCAGGCCATACTCAATGGTAAGTGACTGAGATCCAGGACTCTTTCTGATTCAAGTCCACATCTACTGTAGCCTGGCATATAGCAATTGCTCCATAACTGGTATCTCCTCACCAACCCTAGTGTCTTGGACTCCTGCCCTCAGGGCTCCTGTGGAACCAGGCCATGGGAAGCAACTCACACACCCTTGCAGCTGCAGTGCCTGGGCTCCATCTGAGTGTGAGCCCCAGCCTGTTTGGGTGCTGAGCTCTGAGGACAAATTGAAGCGCTTACCTCCCATGTGGATGCCCCAGCCCCCGGGCCAGCCCCACCTCCCGGAGGACACAGTCCCAGCCACATGCGAACTGAGCATGCACGCACCCTCAGCTTGACCTGAGTCCGCTTACGAAGCCACTTCTCCCGGGGGTTGGCAGGACTCAGTGCTGCAGGGTCCAGGCGGGCGCTTTCCTTGATGTTCACGCTCTCATAGCGCATTACCTAGCCAAGAGCCGAGCAGGGCCCCGGTCAGGTCTTCTGGCTTCTCTGCTTCCCTCCCAGGGTGTCAGTGCCCACCAGCTTGTGGCCAGCTGGGCCCTGCCCCTGCAACCCCCCAACCTCACAGCCTGGAACCGTCAGGAGGCCGCAGACCCCGGGACCTGCATTCCTGTCCTGATAGCTGGGGCCAGAGCAGTCTCCCAGCTGGCTCCCTTCCTGAGAGAAGTCTCTGCCCCGCTGTGCCCAAACCTGGCAGCCACCTCTATCTGTCCCCACTCTCTGCCCTCCCTCTGTTACAACAAGGTGGCCCTTTCTTAAGGCCGGCTTGAGTCCTGATCCCAGCCCCTCCTTGCTTCTTGAGGACGTTGCTCCAGCCATGCTCCCCTCCCAATCCCGCAGAGCTGATTAGACTCCCTCCGCTAGATCACTCTCCTTAGCATTCAAATACGTGTAATACTGCCCATCTTAAAAAATACTCTCTCAGATTCCTCATGCCTCTCCAGTGACCGCCACATCCCTGCTGTCCCTCACAGCAGCACTGACAGAGGACTTAGCCCATATGCTGTCACCCCTTCCTCACCTGCCCCCTCTCCTCCACCCACTCCAGTCAGGGTTCTTCTCCATCACTCCTCTACGGAAGCCATTCTTGCCACTGCCCCGGTGACTCCCACCCCGCCTATCTCAGGGGTCCTCTCCCTACACTCTCTGGGTCCTCCAACCTCAGGGATGTCCTCTTCTCTCCTTCAGTGGCTTCTCCTTCTCTCCCTGGGGGAGCTCCAGGACTCATCCCTGAACTTCCCTCTCTGTAGGAGCACCCTTAGTCTGGCACTCATCGCCAGTTGTAAATGCCGTCCAAGCTCTGATGACACCCACATTTTTATCTGGAATCCTGATGTCTTCTCTAAGTTCCAGACTCCTCTACTCCCCTTCCGTCCCAGCAACTAAGAGGCAGCTCACACTTCACACACCCAGACAGTCGTGGATGTGCCACGTGGGGCACAGGTTTGGGCTGGAGCACCCTGGCCTGGGTGCCACCGGGCTGGGGACCCACCCCCAGCCCAGCACACTCTCTCCCACCCCCAAGAACCTACAAACAAAACTCACTTTCCTCCGCCCCCTGCCCAGCCCTGCTCTTCCGCACGTGCAGGACACAGAACCACCTTAGTCACTCAAGTGGGAAACAGGACGTACTGGGCTCCCGTCTTTCTCCTACAACGCAGACAGCCACAAGCGCTCTCACCGTAATGCAAATCTTGCCACTCTGTGGCACCTCCACCCCCTGTCCTACTCCAAGCCTCCTCTCTAAGTTGGGCCCCTGCACTGGCCTCACAAGAGGCCTCATGGTTCCTCTCCTGCCGTGAAAACAGCAGCCTCAGCCTCAGGGTTTCCTTCAAAAAACACAAGCCAGTTGCTATTTCTTCCTTGCTCACAGCCCTGCAATGGCTTCCCGTTGAACCCAATATAAAACCATACCCCTGACCTTGGCCATCACGGCTGTTCATGAACATCATGACCCCTACCAGCTCCCCAGACTCCCTCCCCACCAGGCTCTCCTTCTGGCGCCGGCCTTTCTGCTATACCTTCTGTTTTGCAGACGAGGACATTGAGACTCAGTGGGGAGTGGGAACTGACTACTCCAGTCTCCAAGTTGAAACACTGGGACACTCTCCTGCGTAGTTTATATTTAATTTTCTAGAGTGTACCATGCCGTCAGCCACCCAGGAGCCAATGTCTTTATGAAGCCCATTCTCTGGTCATGTCACTCCCCACTCACGTAGGTGCTCCAATGCCTTCCTCATGCTCTTAGGATCAAGGCCAAAAGCTGAACAGTGTCTGCAAGAATAGCCTCCTCTCCAGCTGGAGAAGGGGCGGTACCCCCTTGGGGTGGCTGTGGGCAGGCCCGCGACTGCGGCAGCAGTACCTGTCTCAGGATGAAGGCCACCACGTCTGTGGACTCCCAGTAACTGGCGTGGAAGAGGTGGGGCAGGGCCACGGTGGGGAAGGCCGTGAGGACATCAGGGCAGTACAGGGCATAGTCGATCCTCTTGCTTCCCCACCACTTGGCTGTGACTGTGGGTCGGAGAGGAAGGTGAGGATGCGTGGCCGGCCCGGGGCCTCACCCGAGGGGCAGCGGGGTCTCCCATTGCACAGACTGGTGGTGGATGCCCCACGTGGGGCACGGGTTTGGGCGGGAGCACCCTGGCCTGGAGGAGGCCTGGGGAACGCGCTGCTCTTCCTCCTTCCTTCTCAAAACCCACCAGCCCTCCCCTAAGATGTGCGTGCCAAGCCCATGCCCAGGAAGGAGGGCCAGACCCACAGAGACGTCCACAGTCTCACCCAGGGCCGCCGCTCAGTGGCAGTTCCCAGTGGGCTCTGCCTGAAGTTGGCGCTGAGTCTATGTCTGGAAGGTTCAGCACTTCCTTAATGGTCAGAGGTCAGAGCCCTGTCCAGGGTCAAAGGTCAGGGCTCTGTTTGAGGTCAAAGCTCAGACCCTGTCAGGGATCAGGGGTCACTGCTCTCCTCAAGGTCAGAGCTCTGATTTGAGGCAGGGTCAGAGTTCAGGGCTCTGTCCAGGGTCAGAGGTCAAGGTTCCTCCAAGGTCAGAGCTCAGTTTGGGGCCAGAGTGAGGATCTGGACCGATGCCAGGTCTCCATCAGCAGACGCCCAGCTCTCTAAAGGCAGAAGCAAGCCCCCAGGACTTCCTTCACCTTCTCCCTATCCCAGGGCCTGCCCTCAGCAGCTCTAGCAGTGGCCCAGCAAACACCCAGAGGAAGGTTCCCCTCCCCCGAATCCAGGCAGGGCCCCAAAAGGACCTCACTCACTGCGGGAGGCACCCACGGGTGCCATGCTGTCCGAGGACTCCGAGCTCTCGCTGTGGGAGCTCCCCTCGCTCATCCTCCGTCCTGGGCGCTGGAACCTCGAGGCCTGAGGGGGCGAGGCAGGGGCATCCAGAAGTGGCGGGCTGTCCCGGGAGCTGCCCTCCAGGAAGAGGGGGCTGTGGGTGTGTAGGGCATCAGCTGGAGGGGGAATTTCAAGGTCAGGCTGAGTCACGTGTCTCCAGCAGAGCTGCCCACTCAGTGCCAGCCCCATGCTGGGAGGGAGGCTGGGCACTTGGAGGAGTCAGCCCCGGCTCTGCTCACTTGCCAGCCCAGCAGGCACCTGCCCCTCTCACTGTGCCCACCCCACCAGTCCCCTGGGCCTGAAGGGACCCCGCTGCCACCGCATATTGCCGCATTTACCTCCTTGCAGCTGTGAGTTATGCAGACACAAGCTGGAGTCCCAGCCATCACCCCTACCTCCAATAAAGCTGCAGAGGGAGCCTCTGGGACGTTGCCCCAAAAGCACCAGCTGAGGTCCCAGGAGTGACTCATAGCCATATCCTCTCTTATCCAACTCCTCCCCTGCGCCACAAAGAATTGAGGCTGCCTCTGGAAGGGAATGGGGACTCCAGCCTGAGAGCTAGGATAGCCTCAGGGGAGGGAGGGGAGTCCCCTGACCAAAGAGGGATCCATGGGGGAGGGAGGTTTCCAGCCTAGCCGACCTATTGAAGCTCCAGGCAGGCAGGGATTTGGAAATAAAGGCTCCATTGAATTAGGGGTGAGGAAGGGATGGTTTTTAATCCTGAATCGGCCCCATGCACAACTCCCCCATCCCTGACGCAAACCTCTGAGCAGGCTTAGGCTAAATTTCCTCAAGTAGGGCGTGGAGCCAAGGCTCCGATTTCCAAGCTGCTGACTGTCCATTACAGGTCTCCCATCGACGATACACTCGGTCCATGCCCGGTTCACCCCACTTGACCCTGGAGGCCACTGGCTCTTCGCCAAAACACCTGCCCTCGCTCCTGCTGTTCTCCCTGCCTGGAAGATCTCAACCCTCATCCTCTAGCTCTTCTCCACCTGCCCAAATGCACCTCCCCTCTCTGGACCCTAATCAAAGGCCACCTCTTCCATGAAGCCCACCAGGATGGCACACTCTCTGCCCTACCCCTTCAGAGTCCAGGCTGGGCACTCATAAAAAAAATAGATTGGAGCACGGATCCCTGGACCCGCCATCAGCTCTGAAAGCTCAAGTTTACACCAGCCCTGGCCACAGGAGTGTGTCCGGGAGCCTGTTGGGGGCCTCTGAGCCCCAAGATGCCTCAGACAAGCAGGTGCTTAGCACAGGTGGGCGACTCTGAAGACAGAGGAGTCGGCTAACCTTCTGTTCTCACAGCCCCTGCTCAGGTGAGTCACCCTACTCACTGAGAGCTTGGAGGGGTTGAATGGGCTGGGGCCCCACCTCCAGCTCAGCACACTCTCTCCCACCCCCAAGAACCTACCGAGGAGGAGGGACTGCCCATCGCCCAGTGGGAACCTCTGGTAGCGAGGCACGCTGACAGGCGGCACCAGGTGGAACTTGGGCTCCAGCAGTGGCTCGAGCCGTGAGGCAGAGGGGTCTGCGCAATGGAAGAAGCTGTAGACCTGGCTGCAGGCAGGACGCACCTGGAAGCCTGGGGTGAGTGGGAAGACAGAGGGAAGCCACTTTCTAGTACCTGCTCCCTGGGCCCTAGGAGGCTCCCTGGAATGCAGCCTGGAGTAGCCTACTCCCCTCTCAAGAGCCTCCCCGGGCTCCCTGCTCCCCACGGGAACAAAGCCATTACGTTCAGTTTGTCTCCCCACCCAGGAGCGCAGTGACAGGCACCCAGCACTGCAGCCGTGCTGCACAGCTGCCCTTCCCCAATCAGGCTTGCAGCTTTCCTTTCTCTGAGCCTTTGCTCAAAACATCCCTTCTCCTTGTGGGCCCTCCCTCCCCCATTTCCACGGGGCAACTCCTTTAGATTCTTCCAGTTTTCACTCAGTTACCACCTGACCTAGGAAGCCAACCCAGGTTCCTTCAGGCAGGTCAGCTGCCCCTTCCACAGGCCTCAAGGCTATAAACACTCAGTTCCCAGGCCTGCTGCTAGAGTTCCAGGTTTGCCAGAGCTGGTGGAACACTTCTCTCGCTGACCAGCAGGTGTCTCCACTGAGGCATCCACCTCATCGGCGGGCCTCCCTGTCCTCCTAGAACAGGGACTGGACCGTCCAGCATCCAGGGAGCCCTAGGGTTCATTAGCGACACTGAGGGCAGCCATGGGGTTCTGCCTCCTCGCCTCCATTTCTACCACCCACTTTATCTGTTCCATACTGTAGCTTGTCAGTAAGCTTTGGCCAAAAGCATGGATCTGTGGATACCCAAGGTGCCCTGCAGCCTCAGACGGTCTGTACTTCTGTCCTTAAGAGTCACAGATACCCTCCCCACCCCTCATGCCTGCTGGTGCCAATCGCCTGGTGTGTACATTTTAGAGGAGCAGGAAAAGGCATTCGAGGTTGCAGGTATTAGCCGGGCACGGTGGTTCACGCCTGTAATCCCAGCAATTTGGGAGGCCAAGGCGGGTGGATCACTTGAGGTCAGGAGTTCGAGACCAGCCTGGCCAACATGGTGAAACTCCATCTCTACCAAAAATACAAAAATTAGCTGGGCGTCATGGTGGGTGCCTGTACTTCAAGCTACTCGGGAGGCTGAGGCAGGAAAATTGGTTTAACCCGGGAGGCAGAGGTTGCAGTGAGCTGAGATCGCGCCACTGCACTCCAGCCTGGGTGACAGAGTGAGACTCCATCTCAAAAAAAAAAAAAAAAAAAAAGGTTGCAGGTATTGCATGAGCAAAGGCACCTGAGGTGGGCTTGGGGATATGCGGGGGTGGGTGGTGAGACCAACCTGGCAGTCGTATCTGCCTCAGTACAGGAGAAGGAGAGGGTGGGAGGCAAGAGGTTGAATATTCTGTCTTCTCTTCCCCATAGGGCGTGACCACCGGACAATGAGGCCACAAAGCAGCCAGGGGCACTTGACATGGAGAGTGAAATCCATCTGAAGCTGCCTCACCTTCGCCCTGTGTCAGGAGGGAAGCTGCTCCTCTCTCCCTCCTCTTCCCCACCCTCTCTCCTCTCTTTCCACCTATCCCAACTCTGTGACCCTCCCTGCCCCTGTCCCCGACTTCACTCTCCTCATTCTGAGGCCCTGACACGGTGGCCCTAGTGACGCACAGGCACCTCAGGCCCCAGCCCACACCATCCCTACCGTCCAGCCCAGGCAGCACCGTCCTCCGCATGGCCAGGACCAGGCCCAGTGGCGAGCCGAAGAGGAAGAAGTCGGACACATCGAAGTCAAAGCGGCCCAGGCTGACCTCAGGGAGCTGCGGCCCCCCAGCCGCCGGGGTCTCAGACTCATCCTTTAGCACGCTGGAGTGGATGCTGCGGAGGGAGGAGGACGCAGGGCAGGGCAGGTCAGGGAAGGACCGAGAATGCGGGAGTGTTCACACAGCAGCGCAGCCTGAATTCTGAGCGTGAAGTGCCCAACCCTCCATCTCTGGGGCGGGGCTGAGAGTCCACCGGCTGCACACCACCTACAGTCAGCACTGGCCACCAAGGCCTGGCTGATATTTGGCTAGAAAAGGAATCAACAAACTTTTTCTGCAAAGGGCCAGAGAGTCAATATTTCAGACGACATGGACCGTGTGGTCTCCATTGCATCTAGTTAACTCTGCCATTGCAGCATAAAAGCGCCCATGGACAGTGATTAAATATGCATGGCTGGGATCCAATCAAATGTTACTTACAAAAACAGGCTGAGCACCTGGGGCGCCTGAGCATCCTACACACTGGCAGGCCTGCCTCGTCATGCTGGCTTTGTGTTGGCCACACTGAGGATTCCTGCACTGTGTACCAGACAAGCCCAGCCTGCCCAACACTCAGCTGGCTAACGTCAGTTCTGTTCTGCTGGGATCAGGGCTTTCATCGTAATTCCTGTTCCAGGCAACCCGCAGACACAGATGCAAACAGCTTGGTCTCCCCACCCCCAGCCCCAGCCCACAGATGAAGCAGAGCTTAAGGAGAAAAATGTGAGACACACAGAATTCCAACCATTTCCAACCCAGGTGCCCACTGTCCCGGGAAGAATCCAAGTTACGTTCAGCCACAGACCCAGAGTAGGACGCTGAGAATCAGAAGGAAACCTGGGCACCTCCCTGACCTTCCAGCTAGCCATTAGCTGCAGCTTAGAGTGAATCGATTAACTGAATGCAAAGCAACTAAACTACTTGAGTCAGAGGAGAACAAACTTTAGAAAGAGCTATTGAAATCATGTGGACAAGTGCCCCACCCTCAGGAGTGAGCGAGTCTGCAAAGTTGAATCCTCAGTCTCCGCACTCCCTCCTGCCTCTTGCAGTGTGAGCATCTCACAGTGAGATGATGACTCTGATGTTTAACAATACATATTTCATGTACAGCGTGGTCCCTAAACACATGCCAACTACTTAATTGCCAAAGAAACCACCATCTGTCCCTACACCAGAGGGGAAAGCTGGCTGTGTCAGACCAGCTCCTGGAAGCCTCCAACTTCTCATCACTCTCCAAATTTGGGGCTCTCCTAAAGGATTTTTCAAGGATGAGCCAGGACTGTTGAGATTTTTCACCTTGCAAGCCTCACTAGAAGGTAGCTGCTTTTCTAAAGGATCATCTGTCAGCGGGGCTTTAAACATTCAGAGATTTAAATGTGCAGAGTCTTTGACCTAATAATTCTTCCTCCAGGAATCCATCCAAATATAATCACCCTAATATATACATTAACGTTTATGCACAAAGATGTTCACTGTAGGGCTATTTATACTGCTAAGGAATTGGAAACAGCCAAAATGCCTAATTATAGGGATTAAGTAAACTGATATCCATTCATTCGACATTATATTGCCATTAAGAATATTTATCAAGTATTTTTAATTATATCAGGAAAAGATCACAATATAAAGGGTTTTTTTAAAATAAAACGATCTTAAAAGCATGTAGAAGGAAACAGTCTCTATGTTAACAATGAGACTGTTGGCTCCCTCTGGGTGGTGAGATGATTATCTTCCAAATGTTGTAATGACCTCATGATACTTATCACTTGGGTAAGGAGGAAGGAGAAAGGAAGGAAGAAGAGAGCTGAGGAGCAGAGGAAAAAGAAAGAGACATTCCTTCCAATTTGGGTCCAAGTTCAATTAACGTGTAAGCTGAATTAATGTGCAGATAATGTGTTTAGCCCACATTGATTAACATGTCTCTTCTAGAAAGTTAAAGGGCAAACAGTTCTGTAGAGGAGCCTGCCTGGCCCATAAACAAAAGTGTGTTGGATTAGATACATGAACTTGGGATAGGGAGACCAGAATGATGATCCCAGCTCTTCCGTCACTGGCTGCATGACCTCTAGAAAGTTCCTGACCTACTTGACCCTCTCTTTCCCTATGAGAAATGATAACAACACACACCTCGGGTGACTCACAAAACACAGTCACAGCAATTACTCCGCCAGGTTCTTAAAACCATGCAGTGAAGTAGGCTGGGCAGCATTATCTTTTTGCAGAAGAAAAGCCGAGGCTCAGAAAAGGACGACTGTTCCCAGTCTCTCTGCAAGTCAGAGCAGGGCAGGGACAGGGAACCAGGTTCCAGAGTCTCAGTACAGGGCTGCCGACGAGTGGCTGTGGTCCCTCAGTACAGGGCCGATGGCGAGTGGCCTTGGTCCCAGCATTTCAGTGCTTATCTATGGGCCCCCATGGAAGGGCCTGGGACATCTGACTGGTCACAGCCCTCCCAGTTGGCTCTGAGCCAAGGTCTTCTTGCTTCTGGACAGGGAGGGGCTACCTTGAGAGGAAGGCATGGTGCTGGGTGATGGCCTCGCAGTCATAGGTGGAGGAGTCGCTCTGTTTCCGCGGCAACGGCCTCTTGGGCTCCTCATCCTCCAACCCACTGGAGATGTCAATGTTGCTTTTGCTGAGACGCTTGCTGCTGGCCAGGCTGCAATCTTCCTCCACCGCGACTGGGGTGTCCTTTGGGACCGAACAGGGGACAGGAGAGAAAAAGACTGTTGTCACGGGAGACTCTGGGGCCTTGTCTCCTCCCCCCAAGCACAAACCAACCCCTTCATCCTAAGATGTGAGGGGCTACCCTTCTTCCAAAAGACACAGGAAGCCACATTGCAATCATGGTAGGATTTTAGGCACAGGCTCTCTCCCGCATCCACCGGGATTGACATTCCCACTGGGATGCTGGATGGCTGTCGAAGGGGCCAAATCCAGCTCTCCAGGCCTCAGTTTCCACACCTGTCATAATAATCCCCTGCTACTCTTGTAGAATTATGATACACTTCTTCTTCTTCTTCTTCTTTTTTTTCCTTTTTGAAACAGAGTCTCCCTCTGTCACACAGGCTGGAGTGCAGTGGTGCGATCTTGGCTCACTGCAAACTCCACCTCCTGGGTTCAAGTGATTCTCGTGCCTCAGCCTCCCAAGTAGCTGGGATTACAGGCACCCACCACCATGCCCGGCTAATTTTTGTATTTTTAGTAGAGATGGGATTTCACCATGTTGGCCAGGCTAGTCTCAAACTCCTGACCTCAGGTGATCTGCCCACCTCGGCCTCCCAAAGTGCTGGGATTACAGGCATGAGCCACTGCGCCCAGCTGGATTATGATACACTTCTTTGTGACCTGGATGTCATGGTGCCAACGTGAAGAACCAGCACTCTCTCCCCGAGGGGCAGGCCCTGCTCCTATGGGCATACCCCTCCCGCGGTCCTGTCCCCCGGCTGTACCTGGGTGCTGCTGATGCTCCCCTTCCGGCTGCTGCTGGCAGGGCTGTCCCCTGAGGGCCCCGCACTGTAGCAGATGGCATCGAAGGCCAGGAGGCCCCCCACACAGTCCCCGATGAGACACACCTGGAAGAGATGCAGCTGGGACTGCAGGCCTGCCCACTGCTGACCCCTCACCCCCACACCCGGCCAGAGCAGTGCTGCCTCCCCACAGGAGAATGAGAAACTCGTCCTTGGGAGGTGTTGAGAGAGCCCAACTGGGAAGCAGTGTGCAAACTGGGGAGGGTCAGGGTTGGCGTTGGCCCAGGCCAGCCCAAGGACGGGGAGTAGGCTACTCTCAGGGGTCAGACTTGGGCTAGAGAGCAGCATGGGCTCAGAATCAGAACTCAGACTGTTGGCCTCTGTTTTTCTATCTGTAAAATGAGGGCTAACTCAGAGATCTCAAAAGCCACCTTTGGGCTCAGAGGCTGATTCGAGAACAGCCTGGCCTTGGCCCTTTCAGTAGATTCCAGCCTCTCTCCCAGGCCGGGGCCGGAACAGGGGAGGGGAGAGGAGGAGAGGGCAGGCTGTCCTACCTGCCCACTGAAGCCAATCCCATCAGAGGACTTCAGGAACTCTCTGTAGACCTGGTTGGCTCGCTCGATGACGGTGGCGACAGCATCCTGGTACTGCGGGGAGGAGATGGCCAACAGGGGAAGGGCGGCCAGAGGGACGTGGTCCTGGCTGCTGCTGAGGCAGCCCTCATCGTGGCTGTAGGGGTTCAGGCTGCAGACAGGGGGCCCAAGGTGAGCCCAGCCAGGATCGGGCAGGTTGGCAGGTTTGGGGCTGAGGATCAGGCAGAAGAGAGCACATACTGGCCAGGAATTGGGCTCCAGGGACCCTTCAGGAAGACCCAGGCAGGAGCCTGGTGACACAGAGCACAGGCAGTGTGGGGAGGAGAGGGGAAGAGGATTCAAGCCTACACTGACTCCCTGTGTGTCCTTCCCGTGCTGGCCATGGGTGTGGGCCCTGGGGTCCCTGTGACTGCAGTCTCTATTGCCCTCTTCTGCATGGCCCCAAAGGGCACCCCAATCATAGAGGAAGAAGTCAGCTGAGGACCCAGCTAGTGTGGAACATGTAGGAACATATCATCATGGCAGACTTCCTGGAGGAGGTGGGGCTTGAACTAGGCCTCAAGAAAGGCTTTGGAGAAGCTGGGAAAGGAGGAGAGAGGACATGCCAGGCTTGGGGTTCACATGTTGGCCACAGCTTGGAGCTGGGCACATAGCTGCAGACATGATGTTGTGTTCATTGCATCACTGGGAGAAGATCAGAGCTTTCATCAGCTTTGCAGAAAGTTCTGTGACCCCCGAGGGGGCTGAAAGCCTGCCCCACAGTGTCCAGCCAGCAGACTGTCCAGACTTTGCATTGGCACCCTCAACTCCCTACCTTCCCACTAGGAAATCCCCTCCTCTCTGGGCAGCTCAGACTCACCTGAGACCAGTGCCTCCAAGTCACCTACCCCTCCCTCTGCCCCCATCTCTGCTTCTGTTCCCTGGGGCTTCCGACCCAGATGCACTGTTGGACCTGGCTGGTCAGGAAGGACCATACAGGGAGGCTGGGAACTCTCCACCCCTGCCCAGAGCCTGCCCTTCCCCCTTAGCTCAAGCTCAGGCTGATGGAGCCCAGTGCACATCCCACTGGGACTCGACAGAATCTGGGGCAGGTGACAGGGCTGGAGCACTCTCAGCAGGTGGCAGAGTCCTCGTGGTGTACAAGGCTGGCCCTGTCAGCCATTCCTCATCTCCAAAGAACACAAATTAGAGGAAGCAGGCCTCGATTGCAGCCGGAGAGATTTTAATTAGCTGAGAAAGAGCTCCCTCCCAGCCGTGATTATGGGGTGATGAATGGCCCTGGCAAGGAGCTGCCTGGGGGAGAACTAAGCTCCCTCCCGCTGGCCCCATGAATGAATGGCCAGGCCATCCGTCTTCCTGGAGATAGGGGTGACCCAGCTCTGGAGGTCAGATGTCCTGGGGACAGGTAGAGGGGTTCCTGAGACGGATGATGAACTAGCACAGTGAAGTCCTGGACTATCAGAGTGACAAGGGAACATGCTGCGCCACCAGTTCAGCAGTGAGCAGGTGTCAAAGATGCAGATTCCGGGGCACCTCCCTCCTGAATCAGCCACTGCTGGAGGGAGGCCTGGACATCTCGCAGTTTAACAAGAATCACACCAGGGATTTGGGCAATTAGCCAGGTTGCGGAATTACAGACCTAATCTTCCTTCCTTCCAACTCTGATTGAGATCTGCCTGCAATTCCTGTTGGTGTCCAAGGAACGCAGATAAATCAGAGTCTCTGACTTTCCCCCAATCTAGAGGGGGAAAAGGAAGGCCCAGGGAAGGGAAGGGGCTTGCCCGTGCTCTCTCCTGACTGGCTGGAAGCTCCAGGGCAGGGGACTTTGGCCCTCCCCGCACTGAGCCCTCCTCAGAGCCACAATTGGCTGAGAACATCGGCTCCCATTCTCCTGGGGAATTCGGAGTGCGGTGCGCCCCACACACCTGGCACCCTGCTGGGGACCTCTTCCCACCCTTCCCAGCTCCGGAGCCCCGGGGTATGAGGGCTCTGCCTGAGGGCTGGGCTCTGCAGCAGCCCCAAGTCTCTGGCGAGGTCCTGTGAGGGGGACAGGCAGAACAGAGGTGCAGAGGCCTCCCTCCTGCCCCTGACTGAAAGTTCCAAAGCTTCCAGCTGCCAGCCCCAGTGATCTGCCGAATGCCTATAGGATTTGGGCCCTGTAGGCGTTTGGGTCATTTTTGCACATATGACTGCTGAGAACCCAGGTATCCACCCGGCCCCAGGCACCTACCTTTAGCTAGTTCAACAGGATAGGCAGGAGGGGAGCACTGCAGCCCTCAGTGCCTGGAGCAGTGGGTGGAGCTCCCAGAGGCCCCATACCCTGGAGGTCCCCTCAGTTTGTCCCCCACAGGTGCCAGGGCCCACAGTGGGCAAGGATGTGCCAGCGTCAGCAGTGAGCAAGCTGCCCAGCGCTCAACCAGCCCTTCTGTGGACACATCCTTCCCTCCTTTCTCCCCACCAGCTGGGTTCCCTGCTGCGAGTTGGAAGTCTCTCTCCCCAGCCCACTCTCCACCTGCAGAGAGAGCCCCTCTTCCAGCCAGGAGGAAGATGATGTGAGTCATGGCCAGCATCCCCGAAGCTGGCATCCCCACAGTTAGTATCCCCAAGGCTGGCATCCCCATGGCTAGTATCTCCAAGACTAGTATCCCCAAGGCTGGCATCCCTATGGCTAGTATCTCCAAGGTTGGCATCCCCATAGCTAGTATCCCTGAGGCTAGTATCCCCATGGCTAGATCCCCACAGCTGGCATCCCCAAGGCTGGCATCCCCAAGGTCAGCATCCCCAAGGCTGGCATTCCCAAGGCTGGCATCCCTATGTGCTTTCTACATTCTGGACACTGTGTTGAGTGCTTCACACACATTAGCACACAGACTCTTCACAGCCACCCTGAGAGGTTATTTACTATGGCTACCTTCATTGTACAGATTAGGAAATTGAGACAAGGAGAAGTTAAACACCTTCCCCAGACCACACAGCCAGGACTCAAATCCAGGCGGCCTGAGAGCCCACACACTTAGCCGTGGTATGCAAACCCAAAAGTCACTCCTCCAGGAAGTCCTCTCTGGCCTTTCTCAGAGAGCCCACAGTGCCCTGTGCTCTGTGATATTATGCTCCATCAGAGCACTGTGATATTATGAGGTAGATAGATCAGATGATAGATAGATAGATAGATAGATAGATAGATAGATAGATAGATAATGGATGGACAGATGGATGGATGGATGGACGGATGGATGGATGAATAGATAGATAAACAGAATAGAATGATAGAGAGAGAGAGAGAGAGAGAGAGAGAGAGAGAGAGAGAGAGAGAGAATACATAGATAGGTTTTGTCCACAGTTCCTGGCTCCCATAGCCGTTGTTATAATGTTGGGGCACTTAGCCCTAGGAAAACAGAACCTCTCTCTCTCTCTCTCTCTCTCTCTCTCTCTCTCTCTCTCTCTCTCTCTGTCTGTCTCTCTCTCTCTCTCTCTCTCTCTGTCTCTCTCTCTCTCTCTCTCTGACATTCTCCTGCCCTCCTTGAGCTGGCTGTGAAGAAATTCTCTGATCTCCGTTGTCTGATTTAGGTCATGAGACCCTCATTTCAGAAGGAGTCCTGCCCCATACCCAGGAGGAAGGAATGCTGCAGAGGCCAAGAAGAATCTGAGCAGACAGGCCCTGTTGGGTTTCCCGACTTGGTCTGAGTGTCAGCCCCTTTCTGTCCAACCACATATCTATGTTGTCAATCATGCCTAGCCAATGACACCTCCATTAAAGGGCCAAAAGGACAGGAGAGCTTCCGGAGAGCTGAACGCGTGGAGGTTCCTAGTGGCTGGCACACCTAGGGAAGCTCCGTGCCCCTTCCCCCATACCTCACCTTATGCATCTCTTCATCTGTAACCTTTATAATAAACCAGTAAATGTGATTCAGCATTTTCCTGAGTTCTGTGAGCCGATCTAGCAATTAATTGAACCCAGTGACAGGGTTGTGAGAACCCCAGCTTGAAGCTGGGCTGTCAGCAGCACAGATAAAACAAACTGGGGCATGGTATCGGTGTCAGAAGTTTGGGGCAGTCTTGTGGGACCAAGCTCTCACCCCGTGGGATCTGATGCTATCTCCAGGTAGACAGAGGCAGAATTGAATTGGAGGGCACCCAGCTGGTGTCCACAGCAGAACTGATTGCTTGGTGTGTATGGAAACAGCCCCTCACATGTGGCCCGGAAGTCTTCTGTGTTGACTGTTATGGTGTGAGAGCAAAGGAAAAACACCATTCGTGTTTTTCAGATTCCTACTTGGCTGCAATCGTGTGGCCGAGTTTGACTCCTGTCTCCATGGGCTGGGCGACCCTGGGGGAAACTAGCTAAACTCTCAACACTCCGTGTCTTTTTTTTTTTTTGAGACAGAGTCTCACTCTGTCTCCCAGGCTGGAGTGCAGTGGTGCAATCTCGGTTTACTGCAAGCTCCGCCTCCTGGGTTCATGCCATTCTCCTGCCTCAGCCTCCCAAGAAGCTGGGACTGCAGGCGCCCGCCACCTCACCTGGCTAATTTTTTATATTTGTAGTAGAGACAGGGTTTCACCATATTAGCCAGGATGGTCTTGATCTTCTGACCTCATGATCCGCCCACCTCAGCCTCCCAAAGTGCTGGGATTACAGGCGTGAGCCACCGCACCCGGCCAACACTCAGTGTCTTTATCTGGGCCAAACAGATCAGGCTTGTTGAACACTGGAAGTGGATCAAGATTTCATGGGGACCCCAGCACACCCAGGCCCAGGCAGAGGACTCTTCCCACACCTTCCACCAGGGATGCTTGTGTTTCGTCACGATCTGACACCCCAGAGAGTCCTTGCAGGTACCCACCTGCCCACGGGGTCCATGCTGCAGGGGGAGCCCCTCCACTTAGTTCCCCCACCAACCCCAACCAGTTCAAACAAGCAGAAATGGACTCACTGAGAGACAAGCGAGAAAGCCTCAGAGCAGATGGCAGGACAGGGGACGAACTTGATGAGGATGTGGCCCAGGGCAGCAGGGAAATGGGCTCGTGTGACCTTCTCCAGCACGGAGCTGAAGGTGTGGATGTCGGCTGCCTTGCAGGACGGGTCCCCGGCACCCGTGTCCAGGATGTTTCCCCCATGCAGGACCAGCAGGAGGACATGTGTCTTGCAGGAGCGCTGCGGGCAGCCTTCCTGAGAGCCAAGGCGGTTGGAATACAGAGAGAGAGGCGGCTGGGGTCGGGGGAGGCACACAGGGACACACACACACATGTGCGCATACACACACACTCACACACACGCACACACGGGGAGACTGAGGCCAGAGAAGCAGGCACTATGTCCAGCCTGTCTCAGCTGCAATCTGAGGAGCAGTCTCAGCTCTAATACACCCTGCTGTGTGATAGAACCTCTGGTGCATTCAGAGTGAGGGAAGGACATGGGCTGCCAGGAGGGATGTCAGGGCAGGAAGAGTCCCAAGAGATGCTTCCTGTTCATATGGGAACCCAAAGCCCAGAGAAGGACACAGACCCACCCAGGGTCACACAGCAAGTCAGACGAAGAGCTGGAAGAAAACGAGGCCGCCTATGATCCGAGGGCTCTTGCTAAAATCCTGGCCTCTGAGTTGAGCCCAGACACCCTCCGAAGCCCAGCCTACCTCGCTGTCTTCGTGGATCTCGATGCTTCCCTGGGCTGGGAACCTCTGTCTTCTCAAGGAAACCCGGTACAGTTCTCCTGCAGAGGGAAAGAGGGGAGCTCAGCATCTCCAGGCTTCCCTACAGTGACCAGACACTCCCTGGGCCCAGCTGGCCCTAAAGGTGAGACCTTGGCTTACATCACAGGTGAGCTCAAGTTAGAGTCTGGAGCTAGGGAGAGTCACCCCATCCAGGCCCTGCCTCTGAAACCAACACAACATGAAACCCTTTCTCCTCATAAGGAAAAGGGAGGGTGGCAGAGTGAGGCCATCGCGGATGGTGCTCCTGAAAGGAGGGGCTTCCTCGAAAGGAACTAGCCTGCGTTTCTTCACCAGGACAGCAGCAAGGGTGAGTACCACCTGAGGACTTCCACTTCCAGTTATGGACAGCGATTTGAGCAAAGCCTCCCGCTGAGAACAACTAGAAGAGCTGGTGTGATGGCAAAGCGTACGCACCCACTCTTGACTGGGCTGAGAGGTGCCCAGAGAGCTGGTAAAACATGTTCTCTGGGTCTACCTGTGAGGTGTTTTGGGAAGAGGTTGGCATTTGAAGCAGTGAATGAGGCGATCTGCCCTCACCAAGGCAGGTGGGCACCGTGCAGTCCGTGAGGGTCTGAGCAGAACAAAGTGCTGCAGGGAGGGAGGATTCACTCTTCTCAAGCTCAGACTTCCATCTCCTGCCTCACACATCAGCACTCCCGCTTCTCCGGCCTTAGGACTTGAACTGGGATTCGTGCCATTTTCTCCCCCGGTTCTCTGGCCTTTGGGCTTGGGCTGGAACTACACCACAGGCTTTCCTGGGCCTCCCGACTTCCAGACAGCAGGTCAGGGAACCTCTCAGCCTCCATCATCACGAAACCATGCACGAAAGCCAGTCCCTCATAATAAGTCTCTTTTTAATTTTCTTTTCTTTTTTTTTTTTTTTTGATGGAGTTTCACTCTTGTTGCCCAGGCTGGAGTGCAATGGTGCAATCTCGGCTCACTGCAACCTCCGCTTCCCGGGTTCAAGTGATTCTCCTGCCTCAGCCTCCCGAGTAGCTGGGATTACAGGTGTGTGCCACCACACCTGGCTAATTTTGTATTTTTTGTAGAGACGGGGTTTCTCCATGTTGCTCAGGCTGGTCTCAAACTCCTGACCTCAAGTGATCCGCCCACCTCGGCCTCCCAAAGTGCTGGGATTACAGGAGTGAGCCACCATGCCTGGCCAATAAGTCTCTTTTTATACATCTGTGTATATATCCTTTCGGTCGGTTTCTCCGCAGAACCCTAATATGGCTGGATACATACTTAAAAAAAAAATATCTGTTTGAAGTTAACAGAGAAATAATAGAGGCTTGAATTACGGGACCACTTTCCAGGGAAGGTAGACTCCCAGAGAGTTAAGGTCGGCATTTGAAACATTACTGGCATTGCCCATGAGCTTTAGGGTAAAGCTGGCCTTTGCCAGAAATCTCTCCTTGCTCCTCTCAGCAGCCTGGGCTCAACGCCTCCTCCTTCAAGAAGTCCTTCTTGGCTCCCAGCCCTCCCTGAGCTCTCATTTACCTAACACAGAATTCAGTAAACCACAGCCATGGACCAAATCTGCCCCACTGCCTGTTTTTGTAAATAAAGTTTTATTGGAACACACTCAGGCTCCTTCATTTACATATTGTCTATGGCAGGCGGCTTTTGTGCTACAGCAGCAGAGCAGTTGCAGCAGACACCTTACAGCTCACAAAGCTGAAAATATTTATTATCTGGCCCTTTCCAGAAATGTCTGTCAACCCCTGATCTAACACCTACACTCCTGAATGTGATGACACTGGACTCCTGGGTGGAGAGACTTCAAAGGCATCCAACAGCCACCCCTGAGCCCCCACCCAAATGATACCTGCACTCTGAGGCCTCCTTCCTGCCACCAGGCTGCCTTCAGCTCCTCTCCTTCCTCCCCCATGAGATGGATGCTACCTCCCGTGTGTGGCTAAAACCTACAGCCAAGCTGAACCACCTGTTTGTCTTCAGGGAGGAGGAACTGGCTCATCTCTTAAAGTCGTAGGTTCTAGATGAAGATGGTCCTTGCCTTCTTCACACCCCACCCCCACCAGAGCCTGCTGCTCCCCTCTAGGAGTCACATCTGGGGAGGGTCCTTCCAGGGGCTTTGCGGGCAACCCTAGGCACCCTGTCAACATCCCCTCACCATGACCAGCCCCAGGGGAGGGTACCTCTACAAAGAACTGCAAATGAGAAGCTTTTCTCAGCAGGGAAGAGCATTTCTGAAATATTCTGTCCTCACAGACACAATCCCAGTCAAAGGGTAACTGCTTTATGAGCTCCGAGCTACTGCCCACACAGACAGGAAATCATTTCCTAAATGATGGAGGAAGAGGGAAAACTCGTCCTGGGGCCCGGCTGTGCCCAGCACTTCCTAGTTCTTCCCATTGGCTAGGCTCTCCTGCCTAATTTCTAACTTACTAAAGACCTTGCCTTGGGCTTGGCTAGAGGAGACCCTGGCTCTCTCTTCAGGACAGGATGATAACACAAGACAACAGTAACAGCTCAGCTTTGTTAAGCACTTATTATGTCCTGGGCACTATGTGCTTTACATGATTCATCCTCTCTAGTCCCCACAATTACTCTCTGAGTCTGAATGATCTTGTTATTAGCCCCATTTTACAGATGAGCAAACCAAGGCTCAATCAACCTATGTCACTTGCCCCACGTACCTTAAAGGTTAAAGCCCAGGTCTGCCGCTGCCAGGCCCCTTTCCACCACGTGAACTAGTACCAGGAGGGAGAGGGTCTGAGTGTGGCTTCCCTGAGACAAAGCGCTCATGCTTCATGGTGTGTGCGGCTGTGTGTGCGGCTCTGGGGCAGGCTGTGAGTCAAGAAGAACCAGGAGTGATGGCAGGGCTGAGGTTGGCTCTAGGGCTGGGAGGAGCGTGGTTAAAGCCACGGACCCTGGATCCAGAACGCCTGAGTTCACATCTTGGCTCTTATCAGCTGTGTGACCTGTGTCTCAGTTTCTTCATCTGGAATATGGGGATAATAAAAGCAGCTACCCCATGGGGTGGTGGTGAGGATAGATGAGTTCATATGCATAAAGGGCTTAGAGCAGGGTGTGGAACACAGGAAGTGTCACATGGGTTAGCGGCTATTGTTATTATTATCATTATCCAGGGGACATCCAGGGCACAGAGCCAGGACCACAGCTGACAAGATGGGCTGATGGGGACATTGCCGCCTCCACACTTGCCTGCCCTGGTGCCAAGTCCCTCCCTGAGCCCTGGCATGCTCCTCGGCCTTGCTGGGCTGGGCGCCTGTTTGCAGTGTGATTACAGGATTAAATGCTGTGATTGCCACAAATTACTATGGCAAGGCTATAAATACATTGCAGGGAAGACATGAGGGTCCTGTTGTCTCCTGGGCACGATGCCCTCTGTTAGGTGGGGGCTGGACTCTGCGCCCTCACCCATTACAAAGGCCAAGGAGCACCTCCATCTTTGATCTGTCTGGAGCCAGCTCCCTCGCGACCCATGTGATGCTCTGGGCATCAAATCGGTGGATGACTGCTGCATCCTGGCCACCAACGATGTTGAGGCCGTGCCTGGTTCCGTGGGGATGGGAGCCTCAGGCCAGAGACTGGGCAGGATTGTCCTCAGTATCCCTCACTCCTCCCTAGCAGGAGGAAAGAGTCTCACCTCCTACGCTGTTTGGGGACAGAGCCTTGCTTCCTTTCCATGCACAAAAGCCAGGAATGCTTTGCTCTGGGAGATGGAGGAAGGGAGATCTAGCCTGCCAGATTCAGATTCTGGCCCCTTGAGAGTTGACTAACAGGACCAGAGCTTCCCCACAGAAAGGCACACCTCCCGTCTTCATCTTAGCAGAGGCCCCTGTAGACAAGCAGGGGCAGCCGTAGGCTACCTTCCCTGTACCTTCCCCACAGGTCTCTGCTCTTCTAAAAGCCAGACATTCCTACCATGATAATTGGGGCCATTGGCTCTGACTCACCCACAAGACATAACTCTTTCACTCGTCCTTGCCTTTGCTCATGCTGAGCCCTCTGCCTGCAAGCCCTTCCTCCCTTTGCAGACTGGCAAACTCCTACTTGTCCTGCAAAACCCTGCTCAATGGCTATCACCTCTAGAAAGCCGTCTTTGATCTATCTAGGCAAAGATGGCTATCCCATAGTATGCGGCACTGGTCCTGGCTTACTCGTCTATTTCCCCATCAGACTGTGGGCCCCTTGAGAATAGAGTTTACCAGTTTTCAGGGACTAGGATGGCACTTTTGTGAAAACCTTTTGGAAGATCCCAGGATGCACACATCCTGTGAGACATCTCTGTGCCATTAAACCCCCAGGAGAAATCAGGTTCAGGGAAGCATCATCCACTGAGAAGCACGTTGCTTCAAAGTACTCACAGGAACTGGTACCTGGGAACCTCTGGGGATTCTAGAAGAGTCTGGCCTGGGCTTCATAATTCCACCCCTAGAGGCTTCCTCAGGGACTCTGGTGACAAGAGCAGCTGGCAGGGGGTCCTAAGGGGTGGAGAGCCACATAAAGGGGACCCCAGGACCTCATCATTAGGCTGCCTGTTTCTTCCCACTTCCTGTTAATTTCTGTTTGCATGTCCCTATTCAGGCTGGGTCCCTGCAGTGCCCAGATTTGGGGTGGGGGAGCCCACAGCTGTTTTTGTGACAGTGTTTTTTGACAGGCTTTGAGACAGGCCAGCTACCGCAGTGCCAGCTCCCAGTGCCCCACTAGCTCCACATCAGGAGAGGTGGTCCACCCAGCTCACCATGGCTGCTCTTGATGCCTGAAGAATGGAGCCTATGTTTGCTTAATCACAGCCTTGGAGAGGTACAAATCGTGATCATCCCCTCTAATTACCAATGCGCCACACTGCTCTTGAGACGAAAGCCAAGGTCATCACCCACACACTCAGCACCCCAAGCAAAGCATCACCCCAGCTCGGCTGGAGAGCATAGCTGTCTCCCTCTCTCTTGCTACCAACCTCTGGGGTCCACAGGGGTGGATGCTGAGGGCCCACTGGCTAAAGCCAAACACTCAGTCTCCTCCTCCATCCTTGGCAGTCACTCCCACCCCCCGTTAGTCACCCCTGGCATCAACCAAGCAGAGCTGGGCCCAGCTTGAGACCATGTGGCACATCCTGAGAAGTAGCTACAAAAGTATCTAATCCTCTGTAAGCTAGTGGAAGCTCATACATGGGTGGAAACATAAGGTTTTTTTTTATTTTTTTTTTGCCTAAACCGGCCCAGGTCACCAGGCCAGGGCTCTTCATCATCCTGAAGGAGGGGAGTAAGAAAGGGATGGTCTCTTTGTTCTTACTAATGCCTCCACCCCTCAGCCCTGCCTCCTCAGAGAGACTCTTGGCAGGGAGGAAAAAGTGAGGAGAGGCTACTATGAGGAGCAGGAACTTCTTAGACTGTTAGGCCCTTTCAGTCAAGCTCATTCCCCATTTAAAAAGACGTTACTTGCCGGGGACCGTGGCTCACGCCTGTAGTCCCAGCACTTTGGGGGACCAAGGCAGGCAGATCACGAGGTCAGGAGTTCGAGACCAGCCTGGCCAACATGGTGAAACCCCATCTCTACTAAAAATACAAAAATTAGCTGGGCATGGTGGTGCGCACCTGTAATCCCAGCTACTCGGGAGGCTGAGGCAGAAGAATCGCTTGAACCCGGCAGGCAGAGGTTGCAGTGAGCCGAGATCACACCACTGCACTCCAGCCTGGCGACAGACAGAGCGAGACTCCATCTCAAAAAAAAAAATAAAAAGACATGTTATGCTCTGAGGATCCCCTGTCAAGTCCACCCTGGCCCTGCCTGGAAGTCAAAGGCTTTGCTATTTTGCTGTGATGTGGGATTCATCCATATACCTAGATGACATCTGGGAAGAACTACAGCCTCATTCAGTAGCACCTGGGGGACTCAATCCACAGCCCCCATTCCCCAGGTGAGCCCGCATGACACACACATGCAGAAAGAAGGGGACACACACAGACTTACAGGGGAGACAGGCCCTGGATAGAGTCCTCGGATGGGAAACTAACCCTCTACTCAGAGGGTGACCTCAGACACGCTCTGCAAACCACCGCAAAAGGAGGGGTTTGCCTACATTCCCCGGTAAGAGTCAGGCAGTCTGAGATTCTATGAGTCCAAGCATAAGTGCCCTCTGTGAGTGCTAGCCTCCAGACCCAGCAGAATTTGGCACTAGGACCTTGAAGGGGACCCAGAGTCACAATGATGGAGTCACTCTGAGAGGCTATGGAGAAAGGAAGAGCAACCAAAAAGCTGCAGGCGGCAAATTTCACTTTGCTTTTCAAAGTGGTTGATTCCAGCTAGGGGCTTGGCGTTGATTCCTAGGCAAGTCCTGGGGCAAATTAATAAACAAACGCTTTGAGGACCCTTAGAAAAGGAAGCAGTGGGGCCGGGCGCAGTGGCTCATGCCTATAATCCCAGTACTTTGGGAGGCTGAGGTGGGCAGATCAGTTGAGCTCAGGAGTTCGAGACCAGCCCGGCCAACCTGGTGAAACCCTGTCTACTAAAAATACAAAAATTAGACAGGCGTGGTGGTGGGCACGTATTTAGCTGTAATCCTAGCTACCTGGGAGACTGAGGCAGGAGAATCACTTAAACCTGGGAGGCGGGGGTTGCAGTGAGCCGAGATGGCCCCACTGCACTCCAGCCTAGGAGACAGAGCAAGACTCTGTCACCAAAAAAAAAAAAGAAAGAAAGGGAAGGGGAGGGGAGGGGAGGGAAGGGGAGGAAAGGGGAGGGGAGGAGAGGAAAGGGGAGGGGAGGAGAGGAAAGGGGAGGGGGAGGGGAGGAAAGGGGAGGGGAAGGGAAGGGAGGGGAGGGGAGGGGAGGCGAGGGGAGGGGAGGGGAGCAGTGGCTCCCAGAGCTCTGATAGGTACTCTTGGAACCAGCTCGCTAACCCTGCATCATAGCATGTGGCATAGATAGGGTCGCTGGACCAGCAGCTCAAGGGAATGCCAAGGGCTTAGGGGCATCTGGGGAGGGGAACACACTGGCAGAATAAGAAACTATCTAAGGAACCCATAGCTCTCACCACTTGAGCTCAAGGAATGTGGGCTCATGAATGGGAACCTGCGGCCACACAAGATGTGGGGACCAACAGCCAGTAGCAGATGCGGATGGAACAGCGTGAAGCTGTTCTGAAGGTTTTAAAACTTTTTTAAAAACAGGGGAAATTTTTAGCCAATGAAAGTTCCCTTAGGAGCCCAATTTGCAAAGATGAAAGTGGATCGGCTCTGGCTGAAGCAGGCTGGGGGGCCCAGAGCCCACCTTCCTCACTCCAGCACATCCCTGTCCCTAGGCAGCTCCTGAGGGCTTCAAGAGACTGAAACTTAAAAGCCACTGAGCTTGTTCAGCAGCCAGACTGCAGGCCACCCTCCTCTGCAGGTTCCCAGCTCCTAGCATTGCAGAAAAGGAAAAATGACAATCTAAATAATGGTGGGGGAGGTGGGGGAAGAAGCTTGGGGCCTCATATTAGAAGGAAACACACTAAAATGTTTACAGTGGTTTTCTCTAGATGCTGGGACAATGGAATATATATATATATATATATAATAAAGAATTAATTAAGAATTAAGATCCTGTGTTTGGGTTAAAAATGAACTAGAGGGGCTAGGCGCCATGGCTCACAACTGTAATATATATATATATATATTTTACTTTCTACTTTCATCTATTTTCCAATTTTTCTCTAAGGAGTCCATATTTCTTTTAGTTTAAAACTATTTATGAATGTTTATTGGATAGATAATACAAGTATGTGTCATGTTTATGCAAGGAACTTTTTTTTTTTTTTTTTGAGACAGAGTCTCACTCTGTCACCAGGCTGGAGTGCAGTGGCGCAATCTGGGCTCACTGCAACCTCCACCTCCCGGGTTCCAGCAATTCTCTTGCCTCAGCCTCCTCAGTAGCTGGGACTACAGGCGCCCCCCCACCATGCCCAGCTAATTTTTGTATTTTTAGTAAAGACGGGGCTTCACCATGTTGGCCAGGATGGTCTCGATCTCTTGACCTTGTGATCTGCCCACCTCAGCCTCCCAAAGTGCTGGGTTTACAGACATGAGCCACTGTGCCCAGCCTATGCAAGAACATTTTAAAACCAGCCACAACCTCCTATTTTAGTCAATACAAACACTACAAAGAAAAAAGTGTGAAATGTTGTCCTCCCCTCAGGAGCTGACAGGCTAATGAGGGAGTATAAAAGGATAAGAAATGCTTGTGGAAGGAAAGAATAAATGTGGAACATGATGAGTGAATTAAGATCCTGTGTTTGGGTTAAAAATGAACTCGAGGCTAGGCGCCATGGCTCACACCTATAATCCCAGCACTTTGGGAGGCCAAGGTGGGTGGATCAGTTGAGGTCAGGAGTTCAAGACCAGCCTGGCCAACATGGTGAAACCCCGTCTCTACTAAAAATACAAAAATTAGTTGGGCATGGTGGCGGGTGCCTGTAATCCCAGCTACTTGGGAGGCTGAGGCAGGAGGATTGCTTGAACTCGGCAGGTGGAGGTTGCAGTGAACAGAGATCCTGCTGTTGCACTCCATCCTGGGCAATAAGAGTGAAACCCTATCTCAAAAAATAAAATAATAAAATAAAATAAAAATAAAGTAAGCCTTCCAAGGACTTAAAAAAAAAAAACAATGAACTCAATACCACTTGCCTATTCCCACCCTATTGGTTATTGCCCAAACTTGTGTCAAGGCTGAAAACACCAAGACCAATCAGACACAGCATCTGCCTTCAAAGATCTCTCAAGCCCCTGGGATCACATGACCAAGAGTAGGTCATGTGACCAAGGTCGGGTCAATGACAAAGACCTAGGTCATGTGCCCAAGATCAGTCACATGACCAAAGGCTACAAACAGCTTGAGTCAGGGTAGTGGGGCTGCCACAGTTACTTCTCAACCTCTAAGGCTGCACAAACCAGAGATCTCAGTTCAAAATGAGAGGGAGACATCCCTGCCCTGCCCCTGCAGCTCAGGCCCTGCTGAGGGTATGTCTGATGCCCAATAACAGAGCAGGAAAGCTATAGAAAGGGGCTCAGGAGGTTGAGAGACCCAGCCTGGAGAAGAGCAGCAGCTGCCTGCAAATCTATGCTGAGCCTCGTGTGGGTCAAGGGAGCAGAGGGCAAAGCCAGGACAAATAAGGGTTGGGGTGGTTTCTGGAGAGCCATTCCAAGTTTTAGCACAACCTAGGAAATGTTTACAACAGTTCAAGAGTGACCTGTGCTGACCTGCAAGCAGGCTGTTCTCCTTCACTGAGGTTAGACAAGCAAGTTATATAAGTGACCACGTAGCAGGGTGCTGGGGAGGGAAGTTTCATCCAGAGTCTGGGGGAGCTGGTGGCTGAGGTCCCTCCATGACTCCTTAACGCTTTCAGGGTCAGAATCTAATCACGTCCACCTGGATTCATCTGACTAACCAGGCTAAGGTGATGTGTTCAAACCTTCAACGGCCCAGTGAGCCTTTCACAGAGACACTACCCCAGACCAGGGCCTGGCCCTTGCGAGGGCCTATGCCCTAAACCCTGCCCCTTGAGAACATGTTGTTAGATACCCCAAGTGAACACGGGGTTAGTTCGGAGGAACAGTTCTCATGGGGGATCCCAGTTCAGATCAGAGGTGCCATCCTGAATCGGGCCCAGTGAAATTTCCAGGTATACAACCATGAGAAAACTCTGCCACCACGACACAGGGATGCTAGAGGGACATGAAATCCCAAACCCTGGTGTTCCCCTACAGACTCCTTTGCAACAAACACAGCCCTAAGACTGGTCCTGAGTTTCTAGTCCTCATCCGGTGTCTCAGGCAATCTTCACATTCATCCTGTGAGGTCAGGAGTACTCTCCCCATCTTAAAGATGAGAAAACCAAGGATTGGAAAGGTAAAGTGATTTCTCTCAAGATGTAAGTGGAGGGCTGGGTACTTGAACCCAGGTCACCAGGTCAGGGCTCTTCATCGTCCTGAAGGAGGGGAGTAAGAAAGGAATGGTCTCTTTGCTCTTACTAATCCCTTCACGCCACAGCCCTGCCTCCTCAGGGAGACTCTTGGCAGGGAAGAAAGAGTGGGAAGAGGCTACTCATAGCAGGAACTTCTTAGGCTGTTAGCCTGACCCCCTAATGATCCCCTGTCAAGTCCACCCTGGCCCTGCCTGGAACAGCACATACACAAAGGAATGCAGTGGCACACTCCAGCCCATGCGCACCTGCACAGTAACCCCTGCCAAGTGTGTGCGGCATCCAGCACAGGGCCTAGGAATGGCTCTCACACATAGGAAAAAGGTGCTCAACCTTAGAACCCTAAACTAGAGGAAGGCTCATTGAAATTACCCTAAGACAACTTTTTTTTTTCCACCTGTCAGACTGGCAGTTGTGACACACTATGGGCCAGGGTGTGGAAAAACGATCTCTTCATTCATTGCTGGTGAGAGTAAACATCAGTATAGCCTCTGTGAAGGGCCATTTGGCAATGTCATTCAACATGCAAAATGCCTTTGACCCAGCAATTCCAAGCCCATGTGCAAAAGGACATATGTACAGTGCTAACCATTGCCACATTGCTTTTACAACAGCAAAAGACAGGAAGCACCTATATGTCCACCAGTAGGGGACAGATTAAATAAATTGGACCACAGTGAAATTGCACATGCCCATTGCAAAAAACAACTCACCTCTAAGCATACTGAGCTAAGGAGACAATCATGATCTAGTATCAACATCTGAGAAAAGCAAGGTGCACAAAGAAAGGAACTGTGTGCTCCCATCTGTGTGAGGGTATAGATATAAAAATATATATAAATGCATATTTATGGATAGACTCTTGTATGCAGAGATTATCTCTGAAATGGAATCTAAGAAGCCAGTTATAATCTTTTCTTCTAGGGAGAATTGTGTGCGCTGGAAGACAGGAGAGGGAGGCATTTTATACCATGTATATGTGCTACCTACTCAAAAGACAGATTAAAAATAAGAATTTTTCTAAGTGCATGTAGCAGGGTGGTTTTTTTTTAGATACCAATTTATATCTTCTCCCAGCTCTGGCTCCTTTGCCTCTGGGAAGGTTTGTGGCAGAGCTTCCTGGCTTTTGTTTCCAAAAGCTCTTTTGTTCCCAAGAGGAAAGGATTTGGAGACAGAGAATGCTTCAGGGTGAAAAGAGATCCTCACACCCTGGCCCTGGGTGGAGGAGAGAGTCTTCTATACGGGTCCCTTCGCAACTCCAGGAAGATGGAGAACAACATAAGAAGACCTGGCCATCCCATGCTCCAGAGAGCGTGAACCCTTGCAGCCAGGAGCTGCAAGCCCAGGACAAAAGGGACCACCAGGCTGGGTTCTGGGGTCCTCGTGCTCACCGCTGTGGACGAAGGACCCCTTGCACATGTGTGCATGCTGCAGGCACCCTTCCCCCACCAGAGTGCTGGGAAGACCCCTGGAGTTTTGAGGCGATGGCAGGAGAGGGAGGAAAGAGAAGCTCCTGGACACACAGAGGAGGAGGAGTCCTTCACCAGCACAGCTGCAAGGGAATGTACAGTCAAAATCAAAGTGGCTTACAGAAAAACAAAGGAAAGGGCGATTCTTCCACGTGGAAGTAAGTAGACTGTGCAGTGAGGTCTCTCTTTGCCCCTCCAGAGCCTCAGTGCCCCATCTCTGCCCGACTCAGCCCGAGGCCGAGGCCCCCTAGCTACAGGTTGGGTGTAGCGATGGAAAGCACCAGTAGGAGAACTGGGGCAAGGGAGCCCCCTCCATGCCGGGTCATCGTAAGGTGGTCTCTGCTGAAGGCTCATGCAGGAGCCTCTCTGGGCTCTTCTCCTTCAGGGGTGGGAACAACCCCAGGGTATTGCTGATGCCTTCTTGGTTTCCTTAAAGCCTCACTCACCTGTGAATAAAGTCTCTCTGCTAAGCCCTCCTCCCACCTGTGGTTTGTGTGAGCCTTCCGTTTCCTGCTAGAACCCTGACTGCATCACGGGCTGGATCCTAAGTGCTCTATGCAAATCCCATCACCTCCTCCCACACCACCCCTCTCCAGGCTTCTCTTATCCTGACCAAGCCCCCGCCTTCTGCTCCGCTCTCCCACACTCGCCCCTCCCTCTCTGAACTCAGCCAGTTTTCGCACATCCCCTTTCCCTCTCACTGCAGAGTCCCAGCAAATGTTCCCCGGGCCTGGGCTCTTCTCTCCACTGCCCCGTGACCAGATAATTCCCACAGGAACCTCAGTGTTCCTTCCTTCCGGGGGCCTTCCACTCTTCCTGTCCTCTCCACAAAAGCGCCACGGTCCTCTCTTTCCTGGGGTTAATCCTCACGCTTTTCATTTTATGACTATTTGATTATTATCTTCCCCTCCTCCGTCTCCCAGATGACAAGATCCTTAAGGGCTGGGACTGGGTTTGATTTTGCTCTATTTTATCCCCAAAGACTATCATGATGTTGGCATATAAAGGTGCTCATTAAATATTTTTTAAACAGATGGGTGAATGAACTAATCATTTGTTCCCATTTTGCACCCCTATAAGTGTCGGAAGCTGCACGTGCCCCAGCAAAGCCCAGATGCTATGTAGATAGACTTGTATATGCGCACAGAGACGCACACTCATCCTCATGAAAGTGAATGCACCAATGCATTGGCATAGAGGCTAATGCACATCCTCATGAAAGTGAATGCACCAATGCGTTGGCATAGAGGCTAATGCACACATACAAGTGCAAGGGCACACACACACAAACGAGAAGGAACGATGCCAAGCAGAGACACACACACACATGCAAGAAAAGTGCTCCCAAGGCGGACGTCTGCCACCCTGAGCTCATTAAAGCTGGCTAAATATAGCCTGTCTGCAGCTGTGCTCAGCAAGCTGCCCACACAGGCCAGGAAAAGACACCAGTTACCAGGCAGAGGAGTGGAGAGGCCAGCCGTGGGCAAGGGGCTTCACGCATCCTGTCTGTGGTGGGGGGTCTTCCTGGGGAGGCCAGGGGCTGAGGGTATGTGGGAAGGGAAGCCCTTCGGTGGCTGGTCAGGGCATTCAGAGCTGTTCCTCTGGTCACTGACCCTAGGCAGTGGGGTGCGAAGTCAAACCACATGCCCACGATGGGGAGAGGTGAGCTGAGCCATCTACATCTCTCTGCATCTGAGCCGAGGACCCAAGCTCAGTCCAGGACCAGGGGCTGGAGTTAGGACCCAGCTGGGGATAAATTGGGGCTCAGTTGGTGGCTAGGAGAGAGGCTCAGTAGAGGATGAAGATAAAGGGTCAGACTGGGACTAGGGTTGGGACTCTGTGGACCATTGCCAGGTCTTTTTCTGGGGACAAGAGGAAGTTCACAGCCCCACAGAGCATCTGCTCTAATGTGTGGACGTGGCTGTGGGAAGACCCTCCCCGCACGTGGGACAGCTGCCTGCGGCCCTCACCCCTGCAGCTGATGCCAGGCGCTGGCTCTGGAAAAGCCATGAGACGACCAGCATGGCTTTGGGTCACATGTGTCAGGTGGCTGTTGTCATCCACACAGGCAGGGTCCAACTTCAAGGGCCACAATAGACAGGTCTTCCTGCTGTAGAATCTGCCCCCCAACCCATCCTGCATGGGGGTGGGGCAGAGGGAGGCTCCTCTCAACTCGCACTTTCCCAGCCTGTGCACTGCGGAGCCCTGCCCCTCGTGGAGCTGCTGAGACTGGAAGGGAGAGGCATGGAGCGGGTGAGGCAGCCGCAGGTCTCCTGGGAGAATGTCATGCCTCCTCCCACCGGACGTTCCTGGATGGGGGCGTGGGCAGAGGAAGGGGAGTTACTGCCCCTTTGAGACAACAGCTCTACCCTTTGCCTCTTCTATGGTGGTGGCATATTGCAGCAGGAGGGGTGAGCCGGGCTTGCTGGATTCAGCACGTGTGAGCCCAGCAGCCATGAATGGAGCCACAAGGGCAGAGGCCAACAGTGCGGGGTCCAGAGGGACCCTGGTCCTTCCCACCATTTGCTGCAGAGGAACTGCTTCTGTCTCCTCCGCAGAGATGGATGGTATGCTCAGGCTTCCCAATTAGCCCACAAGAAAACTGTGCTTAGAGAGTCCACGCTCCTCCCAGAGCTAGCCTGGGGAAACGGGAGAGCTGACAGGAAGAGGGGAAAGTGGTCGGGTAAGGTTGTATGGAGGCAAGGTTCACGCTTCATTCGAGAGGATCCATGGGAGAGAAAGCAGGGGCTGTGAGAACCAGCCTTTCCTCCTCCAAAGGTCTCTCTGACACGCTGAAGGGAGGATCAGAGTGGGTGAGATGGGAAGCAGGAAGGCAGGGAGGCCGGGAGGCAGGGAGGCAGGGACGCCAGTGCACAGGAGGATGCAATGGTCCAGGAGAGAGAAGATAGGGCCTCAACTAGAGAAGGGATGGGGACAGGGAGGAGTGGGTGGGTCTCATAGCACTGCTGGAGGTTGAATGACACTAGCAGAGGCTGATTTGATAGTGGATGGTGACAGAGACAGAGAAGTCTAGAAGGTTTCTGGCTTGGATTCATGGAGGATGGTGCCATTCACACTGGATGGAAGCACAGAAAGAGTGAGGTTCAATGGAAACATACAAGATCCCTGAGTCCCTACAGCCAGCACCATGGCAGGTATAGTGGGAGCACTCCGGAAATGGTCACTGTGCTAACTAACGGAGCAGCATGAACAAGGCAGAAACAGAAAGAGGCACAGACAGAGGAAGCCAGGGGACAGAGAGGTGGCAACAGAAGACCCCGAGAATGTCAGAACCAGGAGGGACTCCATGAACAGACAGATGGGGCCCCAGGCACGAGCTGAGACTGCACAGCAACTCGGCAGTAGGTCACCCAGGTCTCCTCCCCCAAGTCCAAGGCCCTCTCTCTTCTCTGGACCCCCACCAAGCCCCCACACACAATGGTTCCCTTGGCTTCCTCTAGTTTGGTTTCAAATATCAGGCTCACGCCAGTGACAGCAGGCTGCCAGGCTGCCAGGCCGCCTGCCCAACTGCACAATGAAGGCTGGGGCTGCCTGGCAGCCACAAAGGAGAAAGTCTCCAAGACACCCCTCCCCGCATAGCCACTGCAGACAAGCCCTTGCAACCTCATACCTGCGCATGCCTGAGAGGCCCATGGAGACCTCCCTCCCCACACTTGCAACCCAAGAGGCCCTGTGCTGTCTGGCTGGCTCATGTCCTCCTCTCTGGGGACTCCAACTCTTGGGGAAACACTGCTGTGACAATGGCAACTGAGGCAGCCGCAGGACCAGTAGAGCGCCAGAAAGACTGAGCCCCACTTGATAAGATTCATCATCACATGGGGACCAGGTGTTCCAGCTTCCAAGGCACATCCGTCCAGTAACAAGTGACAACCATCAGAACTTTCTATCCAGCCTGTGCGGATCCTAGTATCTCACAGATATCATCTCTGGTGCCCTCAGCAACTCTAAGAAGTAGATGATATGGCCATCTTTTCTTTTATTTATTTATTTATTTATTTATTTATATTTTATTTTATTTCTGAGGCAGAGTCTCACTCTGTTGCCAGGCTGGAGTGCAGTGGCACAATCTCGGCTCACTGCAACTTCCACCTCCTGGGTTCAAGCGATTTTCCTGCCTCAGCCTCCCAAGTAGCTGGGATTACAGGCGCATGCCACCATGCCCAGCTAATTTTTTGTATTTTAGTAGAGATGCGGCTTCACCGTGTTCCCCAGGCTGGTCTCGAACTCCTGAGCTCAGGCAATCTGCCTGCCTCGGTCTGCCAAAGTGCTGGGACTACAGGCATGAGCCACCGCACCTGGCACGACAGTATGGTCATCTTTCCACAACTGAGTAAACTGAGGCTGAGAGACATCAAGTAACTTGTCCAAAATGTCACAGCTACTAGACGAGAGAAGCTGAGTGTCAAACCCAGGCCTTTCCAAACCTGCAACCCCAGACACCATCACACCAGTCCCAGCATGTTCTGACTCCTGGTTCCAGGGCAACTTTTACCACCTCGCAATTTGTTTTTAGTGAGTTTTCAAAAATCCAGTGGAACTATTAAATAAAGTATACTTGCATGCAAATTGTCTTATGTGGAAAAGCGCCATTATAAATGCAAGCCATTGCGATTCTTCTTGTTTTAATTCAGGTCACAGATTTTTTCTTCTGCCAATTTTGCATTAAAAATAAACACATTACCATCGATCGTCACCATCATTTCATAAAAGAAAAAGCATTTTAATGCCAAAACTGGGCAGGACATAATTGTAGAATTATGTGAAAAGGAGTCCTCTCAATTGAATGCACTCAACATTATGGAAAAATACATCACAGTATTATTGTTTTTCTCACTGCTGAAAATCTTGGGTTCATTTGGGCATCCCCAACCTAGACAACCTCCAAGGTACCATTTCAGCTCCAAAATTCATCTGCACATACGCTGTCATTCTTTGCTAAATAAGAACACTCTTTTTTTTTTTTTGAGATGGAGTCTCACTCTGTTGCCCAGGCTGGAGTGCAATGGCATAATCTTGGCTCACTGCAACCTCTGCCTCCTGGGTTCAAGCAATTCTTCTGCCTCAGCCTCCCCAGTAGCTGGGATTTCAAGCATGCACCATCACACCTGGCTAATTTTTGTATTTTTAGTAGAGACAGGTTTTCACTATATTGGTCAGGCTGGTCTGGATCTCCTGACCTCAGGTGATCCACCCACCTCAGCCTCCCAAAGTGCTGGAATTACAGGTGTGAGCCACCACGCCCAGCCCAATAAGAACATTCTTAAGGAGCAGAATTTGATGACAGCCTTCAGCAATAGAATTCTAACTACTTAAACACACATTTTTCTTCAGCCAGGTCCAGAGGTCACTAAACATCTCATCAATTCAATTGTGTCTGTGGAAAACAGAGCTGTGGTTTGGCATCCCGGAGACAAGCCCCATGTCGGGTGGCTGTTTTTGCTTCGGGGCTGCCGCTGTCTCCTCTGGCCAGGTGCTCAGAAGGGGAGATGATTGGTTCTTTTCCTCTTCTGCATTCCTGGGGAATGGGGTGACACCCCTATATTCATCATGCTTGTTATTTTATAATGTTTTGACATCTCTGGGGCCTCGCTGGCCAGGAAGAGACTGCCCCTCCCAGAGCTGGCTAATTCCTAGAGGTAATAACAACTCCCTTTGAGGGCACCTTTCATAGGCAAATGAACCAGGCCCAAACCCATATCCCCAACCACCTTCTCTAACTCTCACCCACCAAGCCAATACTTCCCTGGCCCTAAATCAACCCAAGGCCAGCTACCAGGCAACGGGACACCAGCCCTAGAGCCTAGAGCCCAGAGCCCTCGACATGCAAATCAGCCAGCCCTGCATGGTTCTCCTGCTCTGCCCTGCCTTTCCAGAGAAAAAACCAACAAGGGCTCTGGGCCTTGCAGCTTTGGGGGGCTCAGTCCACTCTGCCCACCACCTCCCTGGGCTCAGGTCTGCAGCCACTCTGCAAGCTCTTCCATACCTCAGTTGCTATTTTCTGAGGTGGAGGCGCCTGTGACACCAGCCTTCCTATGGCCTGGAATCCAGCCTTGAGTTGGATTCCTGGCCCTTCTGTCTCCTGACCAAACCAAGTGCTTCCCCCGTGGCCTTGCATGGTGTGGAATGGCCCCATCTCTCAAAACCTGAGCTGAAAATGTTTTGATGACATGAGCCTCTCCACATGCTCAGTCACCTCTACACTAAAGACCCACAGGTAATTTTAACACATTCCCCTTGTGCTGAGCTCAGTTCCTTACACCCCTACGAGTGCTCAGGAAAGAGAACTGCCCTCTCTCTGCCCTGCCCTTTCCATGGCCTGATGCCCTTATGGCCTGAGCCTTGGGGTGCCCCTGACAAAGGCATTCACACTTACCAGCCCCTGAAGGGCTTTGTCTATGAAATTGCCATTGAATGCTAGAAGCAGAAAAAGGTTCTCCATGTAGGGTGTGGTGGCTCACGCCTAAAATCCCAGAATTTTGGGAGACCAAGGCGGGCAGATCACCTGAGGTCAGGAGTTCAAGAGTAGTAGCCCGGCCAACATGGCAAAACCCCATCTCTACCAAAAACACAAAAATTACCCGGGCATGGTGGCCGGCGCCTGTAATCCCAGCCACTCAGGAGGCTGAGGCGGGAGAATGATTTGAGCCCGGGAAGCTCAAGAGGTTGTAGTGAGCCGAGATCGTGCCATTGCGCTCCAGCCTGGGTGACAGAGCAAGACTCTGTCTCAAGAAAAAAAAAAGAGAAAGATTCTCTGGCAGGGGATGCCTGTGCAGCCACTCAAGGCTGGGTTCCAGGCCATAGGAAGGCTGGTGTCATAGGTCCTTCCACCTCAGCACAGCAACTGAAGGATGGAAGAGCTTGCAGAGCAGCCACAGGCCTGAGCTCAGGGAGGTGGTGGGCAGAGTGGACTGGGTCCCCCAAAGCTGCAACCATAGATCAAAGGAGCAGGAGAGAGAAGTCAGGAAAGTTCTGAGCACAACCCCACCCCAAACACACATGGAGTCCTCTCCTGACCCAGCCACATATGGAAGTCAATACTGCCAACAGCAAAGACATTTGGCCCAGACATTGGCCACCGAGTCCTCCCAGAACATCCAAGGAAGATGTCCTGAGGTCACTATGTCAGCAAATGGCCACATCTCGACCAGGTCTTTCCCAGGTCCAATGCTGTGCTCATCTCTCTGAGAAAACACAGGGGGAAGGAAACCTGGAGACGCCTGTATAACACAGAGGACAGGGACTCAGCCACAGGGCCATGGGCTCTGCAGAGAGGTAGCCTCTTCGTGGAGCAATACTGAGGATCATCACCCCGGGCACATCCAGGAATGAAGTGTCTCTGAACCTCATTCAGTCATGTCAGTCACCATGGCACCGTCAGTGGTTCCTGGAAGTTGTGTCACCCAAAAGTGATGGGCACAGGGGCCATGTTCCCCATCCCCGTCCTCCTCTCTCTGTCCTCATGCCATGATCTCAGCTGCTCTGCTGAGCTCACACTCCCAACCCACCAGCCTCCCACCCCTCACTCTGGCCCTGTGGAGTCCCCAGAGAGGGGGACATGAGCTGGCCTGAGCTGCCCAGTGATAGGAACTCAGGAACCCGAGGAGGCTCAGTTCATGGGTTAGAGAGGGCCCAAACTCAGGCTGAGTGACCCCAGGCCCTCCGGTACTGCCTGCAGGCAAGATGGCAGGGATCCTGCCATCCTTTCAGGCTCTGAGTGGATGAGAGGGGACCCAGGCTCAATGAGCTTGCACCCATCCAAGGGGAAGAAATGACCCCACAGGGTCAGGCTTGACTCACGCTGCTTCTCCTGGAGGATGCTGGATGTGCACGGCGCGGTCCCTTCTCCTGCAGAAAAAGAAAAGAAACATGAGCAGATCCTTGACACTGTTGCCAGGCACTGTGTTTCCCAGGGAGGCTGCTTGGAGCTGCCTCTGACCCTCACTCTAGAGCTTGGGATGGGCAGAAGTATCTCCTACCACTTCATGCCCTGCTCTGCCCTGACCTGACCTAGCCCTTGGCCCTTCATGCCACACCTGATGCCATTTCTGGGGAGAGTACGGCCTGGCTCCTCTGCCTCCTCAGGCGTTTTCACCTCTGTCTTGTCCTCCAGCTCCTCCTCTCCTCCCTCCTCTATAAAGCAGCGGCTTCCCAGGAGCTGCCTGCCTCTCTATACTCACTCTCTCCTCTGAGGGTCCACACTGAACTCCAAGCCCACAAACCACTGCCAGGGCTCTGCCTCTGGCCCAGGCCTCTCCCCTTAGCTCTGGATCTGCATATCCCACTGCCCCCCAGACGTCTTCTGTGGCCACTCCCAAACACTGCACACTCCCCATGACCAAAGCTTCCCTAGAAGTCTGCGGCCCCTCCCAAAATGTGTCTGTGGCTTCCTCTAGGGCCCCAGGTCTCTGAGGAAGGTTTCCAAGGCAGAAAGCGAAGTCACCTCCTGGTCTCCCCAAGGGACTCGAGAATCCTTCCCCATGCAAAGCTACCTCATTTCTTCCCCTACAGAACTGAAGGGCAACTCCAGTCTAAGAACCTCCTCCATCTCCACAGCCCACACTCCAGGGCCTGGTAGATGACTCCTCTCCTGACCCCATGCCTGCCTCTCACAACCCCGTGCCTGCCTCTCACATGAAACTTCTCCAGGTGTTCATCAGAATGAACTTCTCCAGGTGTTCTCCAGATGGATTCATTAGAATCCATCACCCTGTTTCTGTAGCCCTCTGCCTGCCAGGGCCATCTTCATGGCCCACGTCCCCTGAATCCTGGGGTCATGGCCCCCGGGCTCTCTCAAAAGCAGGCAGGGGTAAACAATGGGAAGAGTGTCCAGCTGGAATCTGGAGGCTGACTCCATTTTAGGCTCCCTCTGGCCTGCTGTGTGATGTAAGGCACAGCACTCTCCCTCTCTGGGTTCATTCCTACAAGATAGCACGGATCCAGTGCTCGCTAAGAACCTCCAGGTCCTGAAAGCCCTTGAGTGACACTGCATTATAATTGGATACCTGGATTCAAATGCCAGCTTCTTCACTTACGAACCATGCACCCTTGGGCAAGTTACACAACCTGTATATGCCTCAATCTTCCAATCTATAAAATGGGGATAGTACTGGTACTTGCCTCGGAGGGTTACTGTGGATATTAAATGATTAATATATGTAAAGCCGGCTAGGCACGGTGGCTCATGCCTGTAATCCCAGCACTTTGGGAGACAGAGGTGGGCGGATCACCTGAGGTCAGGGGTTTGAGACCAGCCTGGCCAACATGGTGGAACCCTGTCTCTACTAAAATACAAAAACTAGCCAGGCGTGGTGGCGCATATCTATAATCCCGAAGCTACTCGGGAGGCTGAGGCAGGAGAATTGCTTGAACCCAGGAGGTGGAGGTTGCAGTGAGCCGAGATCACGCCACTGCACTCCAGCCTGGGTGACAGAATGAGACTCCGTCTCCAAAAAAGAAGACAAATAAAATATATATATATATATATATGTAAAGCCTTCAGAACACAGTCAGGCACAAAACAGGTGTTCAATAAGTGAGGATGGCTCTGATTCTTGTTTTATTTACTTGTTTACTTCTAACCATTGATTCAAGACCTTGTCCCTTTTGTCTTCATCATGATCCCAGGTGCAGCCAGATAGAGACAATCAATGGTTAATGCTAGATGCCAGCTCACAGCACTCCCTAGACCTAGGGGCCGTGACAAAGCCTAGGCCCAAGAGGGGCCCAGATAGAGAACAGAGACCTGGACACCGTCATAGAGCAGTCCCCACACAGCACAATAGGATGGACGCAGACTGTTTCCCAGGTGCAACAGCAGCACAGATGTGGACAGAAACAAGGAATGACCCAGTATCCAATACACAGGTCAGGGAGCGAAGACCAGCACCATGTCTGAGCACCAGCTAAGGCCCATGAAACTCTGGCGTCCCTAAGAAGTCAACTTTGACCACCCAGCAGAGCTGGGGCCTAGCAGAGAAATTAAGACATAAGACATGCATTCAAAAAACGCCTTCTATGGGCCAAGCCCCATGCTAGGGGCCATGGAGGATACAGAGATGAGGAAGTCAGAGTGAGTGAGGAGCAAGAACACCTCTGTGCAGAGAAGCACACGGCTAACTGCAATGAGAGGCGAGACCGGCGGGGAGAGACGGGGAGGGAAAGATTCATTCTGACTGAGGACTCCAAGGAAGCTTGTGCCAGAGCAGAGATTTCAGTTTTGACAGTAGAGGAAAGGGCATGGCATTCCAAGCAGCCAGCAAGATCATGTTTATGGAATGCCAAGTTCAAGGCAAAGCGGGGGTGTGAGAGAGCATGGTCCCATTTACAGATAAGAAGGAAGGAAGGCAGGAAGCCCATTTACAGATAAGAAAACCAAGGCCTGAAGAGGTGAAGGAGCTTGCAGACTCTTCCAAATCCAAACCTCCTGCTTTTTCTATCATACTCCACCAAAACCAGCTGCATAATGAGGAAGGCCTCATGCAAAAAGGAAATGCCGGGTCCCTTGTTCAAACAGAAAAAAAAAATGTTGCTAAAGGTACTAAAATATAACATTTTTCCTTTTCCCTGAGGATGCTCTAAAACCTGTTATGGTGTTTTCTTTCTTTCTCTCCTTCCTTCCTTCCTTTCTATTCTTTTCTTTTCCTTTCTCTCTTTTTTTTTTTTTGACAGAGTCTCATTCTGTCACCAGGCTGGAGTGCAATGGTGCGATTTCGGCTCACTGTAACCTCCGCCTCCCAGGTTCAAGCGATTCTCCTGCCTCAGCCTCCCAAGTAGCTGGGACTACAGGCACCCGCCACCACACCCGGCTAATTTTTGTATTTTTAGTAAAGATGGGGTTTTACCATGTTGGCCAAGATGGTCTCAGTCTCTTGACCTGGTGATCTGCCCACCTCGGCCTCCCAAAGGGCTGGGATTACAGGCGTGAGCCACCGCGCCCGGCCAGTGTTTTCTATTTGCTACTGTATTTCCTCATGCCCAGGGAGACTTGAGGGATGAGTGCAGGCCCTCCCAGGCCCCAGGGTCCCTGCTCCTTAGCTTGGCACGTACACACAGGCTCCACCAGCACCCAGGATCCCCCTCCTGCCAGCCACTGGGCCAAACAAACCATGCTGTGAGTGACAGTTGGAAAGTTGAGCCAAGCATGCACCCCTCCCACAGGCCTGCTGGCCCCATCCAGGGTAGACAAGAGTATTGCAACCTCCATGCTGAAACGCACTAGTTGAGTGAGAGGTTTTTTCCCTCTGAATCACCCTTGGAATGCTCTATGGCACTGCCAGCCCAGGGTGGGGACAGCTGCCTCGCCCCAAGACATGGTGGAGTATAAGCACCTAACCTCAGCCCTGCCTGCTCCCAGGCTCTGGCTTGGAGGGAGGCCAGCGGCTGTCCATGGGCAGGGGAAGGAGAAGAAAGCTGGGTGGGGGTGGGGCTGAGAAGCCAGAGGGCAGGAGAGCAGCAGGCCAAGATCCCAGGAGGCTTCAAGGCGGCAGGAGGCAGGACCATGTGAGAGCCGCCCACCAAGTACCCCCACACATATGCACTGTCCCGTCAGACTTCACTCACAAAACACAAACTTGGCCGGGCATGGTGGCTCACGCCTGTAAACTTAGCACTTTGGGAGGCCAAGGTGGGTGGACCACCTGAGGTCAGGAGTTTGAGACCAGCCTGGCCAACATGGTGAAACCCCGTCTCTACTAAAAATACAAAAATTAGCTGGGCGTGGTGGCGCATGCCTGTAATCCCAGCTACTAGGGAGGCTGAGGCAGGAGAATCACTTGAACCCAGGAGGCAGGGGTAGCAGTGAGCCGAGATAGTGCCACTGCACTCCAGCCTGGGCAACGGAGTGAGACTCCATTTAAAAAAAAAAACAAAACACAAAAACACAGACTTGAAGATAACACCATTCGGACTTCAGAACAGCAAACCCAATACCTGCAGCCCTCTGGAGCACTGGCCCTGAGCCCTGACTATAACACAGACACTTCTGGCATTTCTCGGGCATCTACTATGTGTCAGGCCCTGGAGGAGGGGAGGACTCCAGCGCAGGGAGGAGCCGGGTCTGAGTCATTACCTCCACATTCTCATGCCAAGTCCATAGTCGGTACTCACGGAGACAGTTTATGAGTTCTCCAGACCATCCAATACTTTCATTACCAGGGTGTAAATATGACTTAGCCTGGGCAGGATGTCCAGAGGTGGGGAGGTGGGAAAGTTGGGGAGGTGGGCAAGGATGAGAGCTGGGGTTGCTGGGAATGCTGGGGATGCAGCTGGGGTTGCTGGGAATGCTGGGGATGCAGCTGGGGTTGCTGGGAATGCTGGGGTTGCTGGGGTTGCTGGGGATGCAGCTGGGGTTGCTGGGAATGCAGAGTTCAGAGGCCGGAAGAAGCTCGGGGACCCAGGTGCCAAGAGGCCAGGAGGTGAGTGTCCTGGAAACGCCAGTGCGCAAGCTTCACGTGGGTAAGAAGAGGGAAAATGTCAGAAAGGAGGTCGGGACCAAGCTCTGGGACTCCTCAAAGCCAGCCCTGAGTGCGGCCTCAGCTGCATAAGCCTTGAAGGCTGCACCTGGGCACGCAGGTGCTTTCTGGCTTGCCTAGTGCTTTCCCGCACATGAAATCGTTGGCTTCCATGCCTATGCAATAAGGCTGCTGAGCCTCAGCGAGGTAAAGTCACTTCCCCAACGTTGAGATCTGGTCCCTTGGACACCCCAATACTGGGAAGGGCTCTTCCCACAATTTCACCCCGCCTCCTATTGGTCGGGGGCTTCCTAGAGCAGTGGCTTCCCAGGACGGCTCAGGCAGCCTGGGTAGTGCTTCCTGGAGGAGGAAGGCATGGGACAGCGAAAGGCTGCCACAGTCAGGGGCTGAGGGGTGAGGAGGACGGGAGCAGAGAAGGGGACATTTGCAAGGGGTGCAGAGAGGATGCGTCCAGAGGCTTGGGGACTGGCTGGTGTTTGCCTCGGGCTTCGTCTCTCCTGCAGCGCAGCCTGAGCCAGGCATCCCAGGGTTCCCAGGGCTGGTGAGGCCACCGACGGGGTCAGGAATAAGCCTGCTGTTTGATGAGGTAAGTGTGGCGCCCGGACAGTAGGAAGCCGGGCTTGCCTGCCCAGTCCAAGCCAGCTCCATCTTCCCTGGAAACCGCCAGCGAGGGAGGAGCCGGCTTGAACCTGGCTTCCTGATTTAGCAGGCTCCCAGGACGAGGGTGATTAACCAACTGTGCAGCTGGCTCAGCTGCCACCTAAATGAGACCCCACTTAGCCTAGAGCTTTGCAAGGCTCATGGGCCTGACAGCTTTGCCTCTGCTGGAGCTTGTTTCAAGTGGAGGAGCTGCCAGAAACTCCTGCAGACAGGATGGGCTACAAGGAACTGGGAAGGCAGAGTTTTGTCATGCACCCCAGGCTCTGGGCCCCACCAATCTTGCCTGTCCTGAACTCACACAGCCCTGGAAGGCTGAGCCACATCATCTTTTCTGAGAAGATGCTTCTGAGTCCCGCTAACGGTTTCCTGAGTGATTTTATAACTCTTCTTCCAATCCCCTCCCAACAAATCATGAGTTCCCCAAGTGCAAGAGAAGCAAAGTGTGTGGCCAAGAACAGCAAAGTGTGTGGCAAACTTCTGAAACAGGAGAGCCTTCCTGCATCACACTGGAGAGTTGGTGGCTGCGGAGAGAGTGATTCAGACAGACGGGGCCTTGGAGAATAAAGAATTGGGAATTCTCCTGATAAACCAGAAAGTGTCAGGAACAGCCCCTCTGGAGCAGAGACAGGAGCCGCTGAAGCCGGAATTTGCCCTGGGCTCTCCCCTTACTGGGCATTGGGAGCCCTGGCCAGGCTCCGGGCCAGACTGGTGGCTTTGCTCATGAAGCCTGGCTGAGGAGCGAAGACCTGCATGCTCCCTCCCTGCTCAGGCCACTCCCAACATGGAGCCTCCCCTGCATGCTCCTCCCTGCTCAGGCCACTCCCAGCATGGAGCCTCCCCTGAGCTGCAGGTTGAGACTCACGCTCATTACCCTTCACCTGGCCCAGCGTAAGCCCCTGCACTCATTCCCCGGCCCCTCCTGTTCTCCTCCACATTGGCTTCTAGAATAATCTTTCTAAAAAGTGGCTCTCCGCTCCCCTGCTTAAACCATTCAGTGGATCCACAGGGGCACTCCCAAGAAGGCCCCTAACTCCTCAGCCTGGCATTCAAGGCCTTCATCTCCAGCTTTTCCACCCCTGCCTCTTTTCCAAGACCTCCCACCCCTTTTTACCACCCCCTAGCTCCACACCTCACCCCCAGCCCAATGCTCCACACCCCAACCTCAGACAGGACAAACTCCCCAAATCTCCATTCTTCCCATACCTTTTATTCTACGTCTTTCCCATGTCTTTTATTTCATCCGTATGGTATGTTACATCGATTGATTTTCACATACTGAATAACTTTGCCTTCCTGGGCTAAATTCCGCTTAGTCCTTGACAAATCTTGTCATCTCACTATTCTTTTATGCTTGGGGTTTTTATATCTCTTCCAGGACAATTTATACTAACAATCTATGAGCTGTCATTTAAGGAATGACAACCTCATAGATTGTCCAACCTCAGTCAAGACAAACTCTCCAAATCTCCCTGCTTCCCACACCTCCCTCCGTACCTTTGTCCCTGCAGCTCCCTCTGCCCTCACTGGTCTGTCCCAACCCCAGCAAAGCCTCCTTACCTCCTCATGTGGCAGCTCCAGCGCTACCTCCTCTTTCAGCCCTCTGTGCCTTGTTCCCCATCTTGTTAGAGCAATTAGCTCACTGGACTGTCACTGCCCCACCCCCGTCTGGGAGCCGGTCAATTCTGAGTCCACTTCTGAGTCATCTGTGTGTCCCCTGCAGTGACCAGCACAGGGTCTGACACAGAGTAAGTGTCCATTCCTGTGCATTGCATGCATAAGTGAGGGAAGGAATGTATGAGTGCACAGTGAGCCCCTCACCACTTTGGGCTCAGACAGGGAGGAAAGGGACACACCCAGAAAAGCACAGCTGTCAGCAGAGTGGTCCGTGCTACAGACAAGAGACCAACTCAGCTGTGCTGGGCATGAGGACAGTGGTCTGGGAGAGGCTGGAGTATCAAGGAGGCTTCCCAGAGGCAGCGCATGGGATTGTGGGAGCTAGAGATGAAGTCAGGGGAAGAGCCGGGGCAAAGGCAGGAAGCTGACGAGCTCCGCATGAGCCCAGGGATCTCTCTGCAAGCAGCCCCCTGGCCATTTGACTAGGAGACAGTGGGGGTGGAAGAGGAGGGGAGGGATGGCCAGGAAGCCATGAATATCAGAATCAGAGATAACCTTGGTATTACTGGGTTTAGCAACAATTTGACAGCCCCTTTATGTCCCTCATGGTAGCTCTCCCAGGGCTGTTTGATTCCTGTAGTGATAGGAAACTTACTAACTCTGGAAATTTATGATTGCTAGAAGGAAGGCTGGAACCACATTGTGGATGGCCTTCGGTGCCAGGTTGGGGGATCTATACTTCATACTGCAGTCAACAAAGACCTACTTGCCAATTTCGTGGCAGAATGATAGGACTGGATTTCTATTTTAGAAGTGTCGTGGTAGGATTGGATAAAGATGGTAAACTGACTACACGATCTAGTCTTTTTCTCCTCCTCCAGATCCCTAGAAAATGACATCAAGCATTTTTATGTGAATTAATCTTTAGTAGCACTGTAAAATAAGAAGTGTCCTTAGCAGACCAGAAACTGTGTGGCATCCCCAAAAGTTAGAAGGCAGAGAGATCTAAGGAGGGAGGCAGGACTGGTTACATAATTTTCAGGGCCCAGTGTAAAATGAAAATGTGGGTCCCTTTGTTCAAACTAATTAAAAATTTCAAGATGGCGACAGTAGAGTAGAAAATCAAGTGTGTGGAGCCTTGTGTGACTGCAAAGGACAAATGCTCACAAGGCTAGCCCAGGAGAAAGAAAACCATAACCTCAAGCCTGCAAAGAAAGGTCTGTGGCTTGGCCAGGCACAGTGGCTCACGCCTGTAGTCCCAGCACTTAGGGAGGCCGAGGTGGGTGGATCATGAGGTCAGGAGTTTGAGACCAACCTGGCCAACATAGTGAAACCCCATCTCTACTAAAAATATTTAAAAAATTAGCCATGGGGGGCAGGAGAATCACTTGAACCCAGGAGGTGGAGGTTTCAAGGAACTGAGATCACACCACTGCACTCCAGCCTGGGCGACAGAGCGAGACTCCATCTCAAAAAAGAAAGGTCTGTGGCCAGTGATGGAGGCAGCACAGAAGGAACAGCAGGCTTATGGGTGAAAAATACAGAAGCAAAGAAAGCTCTTGTGATCGATTGTCTGGGCTTCCATAGCAGAGGAGCCAGGTGTCTTGGTCCTCCCCCAACCCCTGCTTATGCCAAGCAAAGCATCTGTCCCAAAGTGTGAGAAAGGATGAGTGTTTGAAGGACAGGACACCATGGAAAGCTGAAAATACCCAAGAGGAATAAAACAGAAGCAACTGGCTCAACTCACACCAGTGACATTTTCTACCTTCTCCAATAATTCGATGACAGCAGGTTTCAGTAAACAGACATATTCCTATCACTCAGAGATAGATAGGCTGACAGGGAACTGCAAACACAAACTGGCATGTGCACAAATATTAGTAAATATTAGATAAAAGCCAACAATGTGGAAGGAAGATGTCCAACTCAGTGACTGAAGGGAAGAGGGAATTGGACCTGTGGAGTCCTTAAACCAACTTAGTGTCATGGTCATTAGTGGCTCTCAAATTTTAGTGCATCGGAATCACAGGACTAGTTAAAATGTGGATTCTGAGCCCCGCTCCCAGAGTTTGGCTGATTCAGTAGGTCTAGGGGTCTAGAAATGTGACCCCCAAAGTCACATTTCTAACCAGTTCCCAAGAGATGTTAATGCTGTTAGTCCAGGGACCACTCTTTGAGAAGCGTGTATTGAGATACAAGGTCATAAACCAGAGTCAGGGGGTGAATGGTAGGAAAAAATAGCTCTCTGGAATGCTAGAGGCAGAGAAATTAATCAGGGATACCCAGGCAGTGACTGCTTCCTTCCTGTCAACAAGAACGTGGCCTTGCTGACACTGTTTGTTTTAAGAACAAGAAGAACCTAGATTGTAAATCATTCCTTAAATGATAGCTCATAGATTGTTAGTATACATTATCCTAGAAGAGATATATAAACCCCAAGCATAAAAGAATAGTGAGATAACAAGTTTTGTCAAGGACTGAGTGGAATTTATCCCAGGAATGCAAAGTTATTCAGTATGTGAAAATCAATCGATGTAACGTACCATATTGATAGAATAAAAGACAAAAACCACATGAACATCTCAATACATGTCTGCAAAAAAAAAAAAAATCCTGCAAAATCCAACACCCTTTTATGGTAAAAAATACATTCAACAAACTAGAAATAGGAGGGAACTTCATCAACTAGATGAAGGACAACAACAAAAGATTCATAGTTAACATCATATTTAATGGTAAAAGACTGAAAACCTTCCCCCTAAGATCAGGAATAAAACAAGATGTCTGCTCTCATCACTTCTATTCAATATTATGTTGGAGACTCTAGTTAAGGAAATTAGATAAGAAAAGGAAATAAAAGCTATCCAGATTGGAAAGGGAAAAGTAAAACTACCTATTCAAAGACGATGTAATCCTATGCATAGAAAGTACTAAAGAATCCCCCCAAAAATAAAACTAAAAAATGAGTTCAGCAAGGTTGCAATATAGAGGATCAATATACAAAACTCAATTATATTTCAACACACTTGCAATAAACAGTCTGAAAATGAAATTAAGAAAACAATTTCAGTTACATTAGCATCAAAAAGACTAAAATACTTAGGAATAAAGTTAACAAAACAGGTGCAAGACTTGTACACTGAAAACTTTAAAACATCATTGAAAGAAAGAAGACTTACATAAATGTAAAGACATCTCACGTTCATGGATTGGAACTAATATTGTTAAGATGACAATACTCCTCAAATTGATCTACAGAGTCAACACAATCCCTATCAAAATCCCCACTGGCATTTTTGCAGAAATCGACCTAAAATTCATATGGAAGTGCAAGAAGCACAGAATAGCTAAACAATCTTGCAAAAGAAGAACAAAGCTAGTGGACCCCCACTTCCTGATTTCAAACTTACTGCAGGTGTACAGTAATCAAGACTGTGTGGCATATTAACATATACACCTGAGTGGAATAGAACTAGGAGTCCAGAAATAAACCCATATGTCTATGATCTATTGATTTTTGACAAACCTGCCTAAACAATTCAATGGATGAGAGATAGTCTTTTCAATAAATGGTGCCGGGAAAACTAGTTAATCACACTCAAAAGAACTCCTAGCTCACACCATACACAAAAATTAATTCAAAGTGAATAAAAGACCTAAATATAAGAGTTAAAACTATAAAACTTTACAAAGAAAACATGGGGGTAAATCTTCATGACCTTGGATTGGGCAATGGTTTCTTACATATGGCACCAAAAGGACAGACAATAAAAGAAAAAATAGATAAACCAAACTTCAACAAAATTTTAAGATTTAGTACTCCAAAAGACATTATCAAAAAAAAAAAGTATAAAGACAACCCACAAAATGGGAGAAAGCATATCTGATAAGGGTCTGGTGTCCAGAATTCATTAAAGAACTCTTACAACTCAACAATAAAAAGACAACCCAAATTTTAAATGGGCAAAGGATTTCAGTAGACATTTCCCCAAAGGAGATAAACAAACGATGAATAAGCACACGAAAAGATGCTCAACATCATTAGTCATTAGAGAAATGAAGATCAAAACCGCAATGAGACATCACTTCACACCTGCTAGGATGGCTATATCCAAAAAGGCAGCCAGTAACAAGTGTTGGCAAGGATGCAGAGAAATTGGAACCTTTTTACATTACTGGTGGAAATGTAAAGTGGGGCAGCTACTTTGGAAATGAATTTGGCAGCTCTTCAAAAAGTTAAACAGAATTACCATATGATATAGCAATTCCACTCCTATGTATATCAGCAAGATAATTGAAAACATATCCACACAAAAACTTGCATATGAATACTTATAGCAGCATTATTCATAATAGCCAAAAAGTAGAAACAACTCACATGTCCATCAACTGGGATAAATGAGACATGGCATATCCATACAATGGAGTAATATTCAGCCATAAAACAAAATGAAGCACTGACTTATGCTACAACGTGGATGAATCCCAAAAACATTATGTTAAGGGAAAGTAGTCACACACAAAAGGCTATATATTGTTTGATTCCATTTATATGAAATACCAGGGGCTGGGAGAAGGGGAATGGGGAGTGACTGCTAATGGGTATGGGGTTTCTTTTTTCAGAAATGAAAATGTTCTTGGGCCGGGCATGGTGGCTCATGCCTGTAATCCCAGCACTTTGGGAGACCGAGGTGGGCGGATCACTTGAGGTCAGGAGTTCAAGACCAGCCTGGCCAACATAGTGAAACCCTGTCTCTACTAAAAAAATACAAAAATTAGCCAGACCTGGTGGCGGGCACCTGTAATCCCAGCTACTTGGGAGGCTGAGGTCAGAGAATCGCTTGAACCCGGGTGGCAGAGGTTGCAGTGAGCCGAGGTTGCACCATTGCACTCCAGCCCGGGCAACAGAGTGAGACTCCATCTCAAAAAAAAAAAAAAAAAAAGAAAGAAAGAAAAGAAAAAATATTATTGAGCTAGATAATGGTGATAGTTGCATCCCTTCATGAATATACTAAAACCACACTGAATTGTACATTTTACAAAAAGGTGGGTTTTATGGTATGGGAATTATATCTCAACTTCTAAAAAAGAATTTGGCAAGACCTGCTTCACTTGAATAGTGTTAATGGCAGCTGTGTGCCTCCTTAGATCATTCAAATCAAGATGTCTCCTGCTCTGTGTTGTAATCTCACCTATGATCTTTGGCTGAATAATCCAATCTTAAGTGTGTAGTTATTCCCACCCATATCTAACCTACAGAAAACTCTGAAATGTTCTAAAACAAGCAGAAGGAGACTTTAAAAAATGTAGCATGAGCCCATGCTTCCATGAATTAAGATCAGATTGCTAATCAAAAGAATCAATCAGAGCACATGAAAATGAAAAGATGATTTTAAAAAACAAACAAACAAAAAAACAAACCCCAGGCCTGGCACAGTGACATACGCATGTAATCCTAGCACTTTGAGAGGCTGAGGCCGGAGGATCGCTTGAGCCTAGGAGTCCAAGACCAACCAAGACAACACAGCGAGACCCTGTCTCTACAAAAAATTAGGCAGGTGTGGTAGTGCAGGCCTGTGGTCCCAACTACTCAGAAGGCTGAGGCAGGAGAATGAGACCCAATCTCTAAAAACAAAACAAAATACAGAAGAGCTGACCTGCAGAATGGAGACTGATGAAGAGAAAATGGGTGAGCTGTTGGTTAGAGTCAAAGCATATTCTCAGAACCCACCAAGGACCAAGAAATAAGAATAAGAAGAACAAGGTAACGTGTGGTTAGAAAAGTCTCTGGAAGAGAAAGAAATACTTGGCCGGGCGCCGTGGCTCATGCCTGTAATCCCAGCACTTTGGGAGGCCATGGCGGGCGGATCATGAGGTCAGGAGATTGAGACCATCCTGGCTAACATGGCGAAACCCCGTCTCTACTAAAAATACAAAAAAATTAGCCAGGCGTGGTGGCGGGCACCTGTAGTCCCAGCTACTCGGGAGGCTGAGGCAGGAGAATGGCGTGAACCCAGGAGGCGGAGCTTGCAGTGAGCCGAGATGGTGCCACTGCACTCCAGCGTGGGCGACAGAGACAGACTCCGCCTCAAAAAAAAAAAAAAAACAAAGAAAGAAAGAAATACTTGAAGAAATCATGAAAAGAAGGCTTCACAGTAGTGAAAGAGCACAGCCAGGTATGGCATGACCAACAAACACCTCCACAACAAAAACCTACTCAGAAACGTCGCTTGAAATTTCAGAATACAAGGACTAAAGATGTAAAAAACCTAAAGGCTGGGCATGGTGGCAAATGCCTGTAATCCCAGCACTTTGGGAGGCCGAGGTGGGCTGATCACTTGAGGCCAGGAGTTCGAGACCAGCCTGGGCAACATGTTGAAACCCTGTCTCTATTAAAAAAAGAAAGAAAGAAAAAAAAATTTAAAAACGTAAATCTTCAGGAAGAGTAAAAACCATATTACTCACAAAGGAATGAGAATCAAATTTATCTCAGACTTCTCACCAACATCACTAAATTCAAGAGGCCATGGAGGAATAGCTGCAGAGATAGTTGGGAACGTGATAATGGAGGCAGATAAGCTCACATTCAAATGAGCAAGCAAAATAAAGACATGTTTAGCAATGCAAGGACCTAGAAAATTGCTATCCACAGTTCCTACCTGAAAGAATTACTAGCAGAGACATTCTAGTGAAAAGAGAAAGTAAATCCAAGAAGAAGTCAGGAAATTGAGGAAGTAGCAGTGAGACCTATATGCTACAAAGGGCAAATTTTACTGAATATAAATCATAGCTCAAAATACTTAACCCAAATAGAATGAGAAGGAGGGGGAGGTGGCGGAGGAGTTGTCACTGCCAAAGCCACCATGATGAGAAAACAAAACCCTCCCCAAAAGTAAAACAGCAAAACTAATCATTAAGTTGAAATGAGAATTGGCAACATGAAACCAAATGGCCAGGGGCCATGGGAGCTGGGGAGTTAGGAAGAGAAGGAAGAAAAAAGGTACAAACATCCTTCCCTGTTCAGGGATAGCATAGATAGAGCTACTGACTTAATCCAAACCCTGGTAGAAAATGCCAGTTTTTATTTTTAATTTTTTTTTTTTTGAGACAGGGGCTCATTCTGTCACCCAGGCTGGGTTGCAGTGGAGCAAGCATGGCTCACTGCAGCCTTAACCTCCTGGGTTCAAGCAACCCTCTCACCTCAGCCTCCAGAATAACTGGGAACACAGGCACATGCCATCACACCCAGCTAGTTGTTTAATTTTTTGTAGAGGTAGGAGTCACTCTCTTTACCCAGGCTGGTCCCAAATTCCTGGGCTCAAGCGATCCTCCCACCTCGGCCTCCCAAAGTATTGGGATTACAGGCATGAGCCACTGTACCTGGCCAAAAATACCAGTTTTCAAATGTATGTTAAAACTGTACGTTTCTAGAACTACAAAAAAAGGAGGTATATAAGAAATTTGATGGTGTCAATAAAAAACAAGAAAAGGGGAAGGAGAAAACTGTATTGATAATATCTTTAATTTTATAGAGAATTTATAACCCAACATATACAGTATATAGATAATGTATATATTTTTTAACTCATAAGGAACATTCACACACCCACACTAGACCAGGGTTTAGACAAGAAAGAATTTCAAAAAGATATCACGTTAGGGTCACATTGTCCGATCATAGTGGAATCAAATTGCTAATTAACAAGAAAAAAATCTATTTGTCAGGATTCTTGTACATGGCTCTCAACAGCTCTTTGGGTAAAGAGGAGAACGTGGAGGTTTTGAACTATGTAGACATGATGGACAGTGAGGGGGCTACTTATCCAAACCCTGTGGAATGTGTCCAACATGGCTGGATGCAGGTTTTCTGGGGACTGAGGTTATACAAGTTTGGGGTCCCCTTTTAAGGAAAAGATTATCCCCCCAAAAAAGCTTACTTTTATAAATTTTACCAAAAAAAGGTAATGGGTAAAAAAGCAAAAAAAAAAAAAGGTAACCTTGCTAGGACCCTCCCTTGGAAGGGAACAGTGCGTGTGTCATTTAAAAAATAAGATTAAAAAGCTCTTATCTCTAGAAATAGAAAAGCACAAATCACATAAATTCCAAGGAAGTAGAAGGAAATAATTAATGAAATAAAAGCAATGTTAATTTACAAAAACTAAGTAGAGAAAACGGTAGACAATAGAACTGATTAATAAAAGTAAGAGCTATTTCTTTGAAAAGACCATCGAAATAGGTAAGCCTTTGGCAAAACTTACTAAGAATGAGAGAGAAAGAGAAAGATGGAGGGATGGGGAAAAACACAAATGAACAATGAGGGGAATGAGAAAGAAGTCATAACTTTCGGAAGTTAATTGTTTTCAACTTGATGAAGGGCATTTCTGGAATCCTAGGGCGAGGGCCATGTTTGTTGGTAAAACATTGGAACGTTTCCATCACAGCACTACAGTCAGGATCCAACCAGAAAGCCCGCTACCGCTTGTCACTCTGCATTGACCTGGAGATCCCATGCAATGCAGTTTAAAAGGAAAAATAAGAAAGGAGAGTAAATGCTGGCAAAAATATAACTGTTAAGATTTGTAGGCCGGGCATGGTGGCTCATGCCTGTAATCCCAGCACTTTGGGAGGCCATGGCGGGCGGATCACGAGGTCAGGAGATCGAGACCGTCCTGGCTAACAAGGTGAAACCCCGTCTCTACTAAAAATACAAAAAATTAGCCGGGCGCGGTGGCGGGCGCCTGTAGTCCCAGCTACTCGGGAGGCTGAGGCAGGAGAATGGCGTGAACCCGGGAGGCGGAGCTTGCAGTGAGCCGAGATTGCGCCACTGCAGTCCGCAGTCCGGCCTGGGCGACAGAGCGAGACTCCGTCTCAAAAAAAAAAAAAAAAAAAAAAAAAAATTAGCTGAGCGTGGTGGCGGGCAGCTGTAGTCCCAGCTACTGGGGGACTGAGGCAGGAGAATGACGTGAACCTGGGAGGCGGGGCTTGCAGTGAGCCGAGATAGCGCCACTGCACTCCAGCCTGGGCGACAGAGTGAGACTCCGTCTCAGAAAAAAAAAAAAAAGATTTGTAAACAAGGCTGGATGCAGTGGCTCACACCTGTAATCCTAGCACTTTGGGAGGCCAAGTCGGGCAGATCACTTGAGGTCAGGAGTTCGACACCAGCCTGGCCAACATGGTGAAACCCCATCTCTACTAAAAATATAAAAAGTAGCCAGGCATGGTGGCGGGCGCCTGTAATCCTGGCTATTCGGGAGGCTGAGGTAGGAGAATCACTTGAACCCAGGAGGCAGAGGTTGCAGTGAGCCAAGATCACACCACTGTACTCCAGCCTGGGTGACAGAGCAAGACTCTGTCTCCAAAAAAAAAAGAAAGAAAGAAAAGATTTGTAAATGATGTGATGCTGTAACTAGAAAAAACCCAAGAGAATCAACTGACAAACTATTAGAACCAACAGGAAATGTCACCAAAGTAGCAATATTTCAAATATATAGCAGACTAATAATTTACTTCCAGAATATATATGAAGATCTCCTAAAATCCAATAAAAAGGATAAACAATCCAATAGCATATTGGCAAAAATTATGTTTAAGAAATTCAGAGGAAAGAAAATATGATCAGTCAACACATTTATGAAAAGATGTTCAATCTCACTAGAAACTGGGTAAAGACAAAGCAAAACAAGAAAACGTTTTTACCCGACCATTACATAAAATGTTGAAGTTTGATAATATCAAATCTGGTAACACATTGTGGGGAAATGGCTAACTTAATCCATGGTTGGTGTGCAAATATAAATTTGCACTGTTTTTTGGAAAACCATTTGACAGTATCTATTGCAATTTTCAGTGCTTATACTTTAAACCCATAAAGCATTCTTATAACAATGAAAGATTCCAATGTCTATCACTGCAGAATGGTTAAATAAATTATGGTACAACTATAGTAGAGAATATTATAGTACAGGTAAAGAGAACAGAGTGAATCTATATATACCCATATGAAAAGCTCTCCAAGATCTTCTGTTAAATGTGAGGGAAGAGGTAAGTTGCAGCACTAATGTCTAATACCATCGACCTCTAGAGAGATACGTTGATCAACTCCACAAGGAGGTCTGTAATTGAAGGAATAACTAAAGGAGACTTTGGTTTTATTTGTTGTGTTTGATTTTTTCCAATGAGAATACATTTAAGAAATCAGGTGGATATTTATAATGTTTGTAGCAGCATTATTCATGGTAGCTAAAACGTGGAAGCAACCCAAACGTCCATCATCAGATGAATGGATAAACAAAATGTGGTATATCCATACAAGGGAAAGTTACTCAGCCCCCAAAATGGAATAAAGTACTGATTCATGTTGCAAGATGAACGAACCTCGAAAGCATTATGCTAAGTCAAACAGGCCAGACACAAAAGGACAAATACTGAATGATCCCACATATGTAGGGTACCTAGAGAAGTCAAATTCATGGAGACAGAAAGTAGAATGATGTTTACCAAGGGCTGGGGAAAGGAAAATGGGGAGTTGGTGTTTGACGGGCACAGTTTCAGTTGCAGAGAGTGACCAAGTTCTGGAGATGGTTGGTGGTGATGGTTGCAGAGCGATGTGAATGGACTTAATGCCACTGACCTGTATACTTAAGAACCGTTAAAATGGGCCGGGTGTGATGGCTCACACCTGTAATCCCAGCACTTTGGGAGGCCGAGGCAGGTGGATCACTTGAGGTCAGGAGTTCAAGACTAGCCTGGCCAAGATGGCAAAACCCTGTCTCTACTAAAAATACAAAAATTAGCTGGGGGTGGTGGCGGACGCCTGTAATCCCAGCTACTTGGGAGGCTGAGGCAGGAGAATCACTTGAACCTGGGAGGCAGAGGTTGCAGTGAGCCAAGATCACACAACTGTACTCCAGCCTGGGTGACAAAGCGAGACTCCGTCTCAAAAACAAAAAAAATTGTTAAAATGGTAAATTTTATGTTATGCATATTTTACCACAATAAGAAATGTTACACAAAAATAACAAGACAAACAATTGCAAAAATAATAATAGTATAATAAATAATAATATTTGAACAATTGTAAAATAATAGTAATAACAACACGCTTCTGGGTGTTCAGCTGGTGCTGAAGGATCCCTTTCCATTAAAAAAAAATATATATATATACTGGGCAATATGTTGCCAAAAAAGATAAATATATAACCAAGCTTAAAATAAAAAATGTATAATACACAGTGCCAGAAACAAAAAAGGAATCCAGAGACGAAAGCAGAAGCTGAGATAGAGGAGATCCGTGAATCCCATGAGTCAGACGAATAAAGAAAGAGGCTCCAGGGCCAGAGCCTAAAAACCACACTGTGAACTCCACCAACCTGACCTCAGCCTGTGGATGGCAAGGAGCTGATGTGGCACCCACTTTATAGCAGGGACACTTGAAGGGCCATTCCATCCTTACAGGAACTTACAAAAAGAACCTTCTTTGCGGAAGCGGCAAAGAAACCATTCACAGACAGTGAGAGAGAAAATTCACACATGAGTAATTAAAACCCTAAGCCTGTGCCACTTCTGGGTGTAGGGTCTAAATTTACACCACCCATGTAGAATGGAAACTCTAAACTATAAATTTAGCCTATAAAATATTCAAGATTAGTGAAACACTCAGGCCCAGCAGGAAACAAGGCCGGTCTTTATGAGGACATTTTCCCAACCTAGGGCACAAAAGACTTCCCCCAAAAAGAAAAGAGAGGTATGTGTGACCAAGATGAGTTCACAATCACAAATGAGAAAGAAGACCCATGAGGTATATTTAGTGTGCGCACACACACACACACACACACACACACAGAGCAGAATTAACACCCTTGAGAACTGGAGGGATGAGAGCAGTCTGAAAGTGCTGATGAAATATATGACTTAAATGGTTAGGGAGAGAAAAGGTAAAATACAAAACAGAATTCAGGCTTAAAGGGAAGAAGGTTGGCTCCATTTGGAATTTGTGGAGCATAAGGAGTCTTTAGGACATCCAGGTAGAGGTTAGCAGGAGGTTACCAAAAATGCGAGTGTGGAGCCCAGAAGAAAGGTCCTGGCTGGAGATAGAGCAAGGAGTTGTCATCGAGGTGGCTGGAGCACCCATGGAGGCAGTGTGACTGGCCAGAGCGTCCAGCATGAGGCAGGGGAGGGGGGCCTGGAATGAGTCCTGTGTCTAAGGGCAGGCAACTTGAAGAAGACAAGAGGATCTGCTCTGTCTATGCCACCAATTTCCATTGCATTCCTTTCCAGGAAGAGTTCACGGATCTTCCTTTCCCCAAGATACTTCCCAGAGCCTCTCAGAGCCTTGTCCCAGCCTGCCTTACTGCATAGTAACCCCTGGCTCTGATCTGTCGCTTCCACTCTGCTGCAAGCTTCTCAGGAATGACAAGGCCATCCTGCTTGTCTTTATTCCCCCTACATTGAGCACAGGGTTGAGCCCCTGTGATGGCTCCATAAATGATTATTGAAATGAATGTGTGTGTTCTGTCATGTTGTGGGAATTCACATTATGAATTCACACGAGAATGGGACTTGGAAGGAGCTGGAAATCCAGCTGGTTTCCTCTTCCTCTTACCCTCTCTCCTCTCTTCTTCCCGCTCCCCATTCTGTACTGGGAGGAAATAGTACCAACCCTCGGACTCAGGTAAGCACTGCCCTTCATTCATGAGCATCAGGAAGCATTTGTGAGGGCTGCCACTTGTGCAACATTGGTCATGCTTCTCCCCCTTCCATCATTATAAGAATGACCTGCTATCGAATGCACTTTGCAAATATCATCTCATTTAATCATCACAGCTTTTTTACTAGTCCTCCACTCTGCAGATGAAGAAACAGAAGACCAGGGAGGTGATGTGACTTTTCCTGACCACACAGCCATGGAGTGGCATGGCTGAAGTTCAAACCCAGGCCTCTCTGACTCCAGCACTGCAGCTTCTGCCTCTGTCCTGGACCTCCCGCTGTGCTTCCTCGTCCCCTGCCCTCCAGTGCCCTCCCAGCTCACTCTGCCTCTTGCTCACCTGACCGACTGCCCTTAGCTCTCACTGGGTCTGAGTCATACATTCTTTAGCAGACAAGTGGGGATGGGGGATGGGAAGGGGATGGCCAAATGGATGGTACAAATCCATATTTGTCTTTTCAAGGCTACAAGCACTATTGTGGGGCAGGACCTAGAATCCATGACCCCTTCTAGGCCCCCTCTGGGGTTCTTGGGATGAAGGAAAGAGCAGCAAAGGACCCACTGGCAGATACATGGCTATGACGACTGGTAAGTTGTCTCTGGATTGCCCTTGGGGGCCAGAGTCAGAGCCCCCCCTTCTCGTGGATGGGACAGTGGTACAGGGTGCCTTTCCTTTCAGACTCATGGTTCCTTGAGCCTGACTTTGTTGGGGCCCAGAACTGTGCCAAGCCTTAGTCCAGTCCGGGAGGTGAAGCCCTGGACTGGGAATCAGAAGACCAGGAATCTGAGCCTGATGTTGCCACCAGCTTGGGGGACTTTGGGCAAGACGTGGCTCCTCTGAGCCTGGGTTCTTTGTTGGTTAGATGGGATGACCACACCAGGCCTGCCCATTTCTCAGGATGAGTGCTTTGGCAAAAGGAGAGCTCTGAACCAAGGAGGCAAGGATGGGGATGAGAAAAGGAACAGGAACAGGGCAAGATGGTCACTACCAAGGCAGCCGTTCCCGTGGGCTGGGCCAGGACCATCTCACTGAATGCCTCCTGAGAGCATGGCCTTGCCCACTCGGCAACTCTGGGCCAGAGCACGACTGCGAATGACAGGAGCAATAGAGGAAGGAGAAGAGAAGATGAAGAAGAAATAAAGTAGGAGGAGTGGTATGTGGGGTGGGGAAGGAGGGATGGAAGAAACCAACTTGAGGGTAACAGGTACAGAGGTTAGCACCCTGCATCCCAGATGTGGGTCTAGCCCTGGCTCTGCTTCTCACTCCATTGTAACATTAATCAAATACAGCCCTCAGCTGAAGATCTCTGAGCTCAGTTTCCCATATGTGAGCTCAGATTTTACGACATCTTCAGCCACGTTGTCCGTTTGAATTTTAAAGCCTTGCCCCATTGCTTCACTGTCAGGAGCCCTTCCTGGATCCCCTCTCCTGCCTCCTGAAAGTCATGCCTCTCCCTTCTGAGCTAACACCCTCAGCTTAAGCCTGATCCACATATCTTGACTTATACGTGTCACACATCACAAGACAGAGGCCTCAGATGAATCACCTTTGGTTGCTCCTGCCAAGCACTTATACACAGTAGGTGCTCAATGAGCCTGTTAGTGATGAACAATAGCCAAACAGATGGATAGATGGATGCCAAAAAGAATCAGCCTGCTTTGTAGGCTGATCAAACTCCTGGTCAAAACTCTTCTCCATAGAAAGCCTCCTGGATTAATCCCCAGCCATATACTCCTTCTTCAACAACTCCACCAAAGGAAATCCTGATTCTCACTGCTGTCCTTCTCTCTCCCCTTAGACCTCAGCTCCTGTCCTGCTCAAAGGCTCCTCCAACTGTCACCCTCCTTATTCAGCAGATTCCAATACCAAAGACCTGGCAGTCCAAGGAGCTTGGACCCAGGCACCTGCCATTAACCACCCGTGCCACTGGGGTAGTCATTCTGTGGACAAAGGAAGCTCTGTTGAAGTAGGCTGGAGCTTTTATGCCACAGAAAACCCCACAGAAGTCCCCATGAGAGTTCCTGTAAGTGGCAAAATTCAGGGATGCTATGAAGGAGGAACCAAGGCAGATAGACTCTTCACAGAAGGCCCAAGCCCCAGCCCCAGTCACCAGCCCTACAGCCCCCCCTGCAACACACCTATGTGCACATCCTGGTCATGAGAGAAGCAGAGTCTCACCTTGATGCTCGTCCAGTTTCCCCATGGTCTCGATCTGCTCCACGAGGTCATTGGAGTTCCACTGGCTCATCCCAATGAGGATGGCATTCTTCCCTTCAGCCATCTCCTCTGTGGGAAGAAGCAGCGGTGAGCAGAAGCAGGTGCAGCTAGGGATAGGTAGCCCTATCAGGAGCTTATGTCTGAGGGACATTTTCTCTTGTCCTATTTCTTCCTTGAGTTGAGGTACACCTCAACTCTTGAAGGTGTCTGTAGCTAGACAGTTACAAGACTTGCAGAGATTTATCATTGAAAGAAGGTACTGTTGTACCCTACTGGGCCTCCACGTGCAACAGCAAAAGAAAGTAACAAAAAGCCTGAAACCCCATAGAAAGTACCATTCCTAGCACTGATGGCAGTATCTCTTGAAAGTCAGTGTGTTTGGGAAGAAAGAGCAAAACCTTGTCATTTGCAAGCAGTTTTTCTTTAAATTACTGACTTCTCTGACCCTCGATTTTCCCATCACTAAAATGGATCTGGCCACAGAGGTGTTGTGAGGATTAAATGAGATAATGGATGTAAAGGTCTTAGTGCAGAGGAGGTGCTCATAGATGAGAGCAATCATGATGATGTCATCACATGAGAAGTAACTCACCACCAGGAGTTGAGTGGATGAGGATTTGTGTGCTGCAGAAGCAGCTCTGGAGTAACTGGAGGAGAAGAAACCTTCCGGTTCTAAGGAAGCTTTGACTTGTATGGAACCTTTAGCCCCCATCTGAACTTTATGACCCTCTTAATTCCTCCATTCTCTCCCACTCCTCCCCTCAACCCTGTCTCTATCCTTGTTCTTTCCTTGTCTGAGCATAGTGAGTCTTCTGGGAGAAATCAGTGGGGCTATATTCCATAACCACGCTGAATACAAGGCCCTGGGTCCCACACATCAGATACACACATCTGGTACCATCCCTCATCCTACAAAGGGACATTTCTTCAAAGACAAACCCTTAGGCATGTGTGCTCTCCTCCCCATACTTTGCCGAAAAACAGATGTGCCTTTCTGGTGAAGAGCTTTGTGCCCTCCCTCGCAGAACAGACATCAAAGGGTGTTGAGGACAATCTCCAAGCTTATGATAATTAAGAATAAAGGGTTGAGATCCATTTCACTGCCAAAGAACTTTACCTAGCAGAAGGAATCAATATGGTGCATCTGAAGCTTTGGGAGCTGTCCAGAGTTCTGATTCACTCAAGAGCTCAGTTGACCAGACCCCCAATTCTGGTTAGGACATCTCCTCCTGTCTTATTTTATGTATCTATTTGATTGACTTAACAACACTTATCTAACCGTTACCATACACTGAGATTATTATAAGTGCTTTACAAATATTAACTCGATTCTCAAAACAATACAAAAAAGGTAAAATTGTTATTATCTCCATTTTATAGACAAGGAAACTGAGGCACAGAGTAGCTGAGTAATTCTTGCCCAAGGTCACTGGCTAGAGCCAGGATTTAAAACCAGGTATACTATTTCAAGAGTCCTGAAATCCTGCCATCCTGATAGCCTGCCCTGGACATCCTGTATTGGCTGCCCACACTCCAGCCAGGCACCACACACATTCGGACAATTTCCTGAGCCCAGTGTGTTCCATCTGGGAACTGGTTTATTCTGTGCTGGGCAGGGCCCTGACCAGGTTCCAGTGCAGATCCTGCTGCATGTGAGCTTTGTGCTTTTCCACACCCTCCACCACTGTGTCTGCTTTCCTATCTTTTAAACAACAATAACGACTCAGGGTCTATAGCTCTGTCTAGCAAGCTGCTGTGGGGACAAATAATATAGCAAATTTGAAAATACGACGCAAGTCAAGGTGCTGTAAACAAATATGAGGTGATATTATTCTTCGGGAAGCAGAATTATGAAGAGGTTAAGAGCTCAATTCTCATGTTAGATTGATTTTTTTCAATCCTGGACCCACCATCTGCTAGCAATACAACTGCAGTTTCCTCATCTAAAAGTGATATCATCGTAGGGCCTCTGTCATTGGATTGTTGTGAGCATTAAGTGAGAAGATGCAGGTAAAGGTGTTTGTAAGAGTGCCCCACACACAGTAAAAGCACAGGCTGAGATGCCATTGCATGATGGTATCATCATCACCAGCACCACCACCACCAGTAGGAGCATGGGTGTTATGCCCCACACTCACTCTTGGTTCCACTCCTGCTGTTGTTGGCCCCTATGACATTCTACCCCAGCTGTAGAGTGAGGTAATCAGGATCAGCCCAATTACCACCTTGAGTTCTTTGTCTCCTGGTTCAGTTACTCAAGCATGGAGCTATCCATTTGTTCATTCTAGCATTCAATCTACGGTGAATAGATTCCTGAGCACCTACTGTGTGCAGGGTGAGACACAACCTCCCTCCTGCTGGAATCCAGTTTTGTGAAAAACATGATAGAAATACCTCTGACATAAGCTAAGAGAGCCAGGTATGCAGCAGGCACTCAGCACATCCTAGCTTTCTTCTACAGTGCCATAAGTCCTGTCCCAGTGGTTTATGCAAGGCTACTGGAACCCTGTGGGGTCTCCCAGGGCTCTGGAGGTCTGAGCATGCCTACTCCTGCATGGCCCAGGCCACTTTCCTCTTTTTCCTAATCACCAGTATAACCCTGCTCCATCTTTGGCTTTTGGGCTTTTGTCTGTTTCCGATCAAATATGTCCTTCTCTACCAGAGTCTCACCGTGCTTCTCTCACGCTTTACATCTGGCCCTGACTCACTCAGATCTGAGCTCTCTGGACCCCTTTCTATGGGTCTGTGTCTCTCTTGGTCCTTGTAGTTCTCTTTGCCTCTCCCAAGCTCTCCCATGCTGCCTGCCACATCCGTATCTCTCTCTGGGTGGAACACGTATGCATTGCCTTGCTCTCTTCTCACCCCAGCATCTCTCTCTTTCCTTTCTCTGGGTCTCATCTTATCAGGCTGGGTATGTCTCTTTCTTGATCTCTCTCATTCTCTATGGATTTCTCTTTTGTCTCTCTGGGTCCCTGTCCTCAGGATCTCTCCAGCCCCCTGCTCCCTAAGGGTGTTCTCCCTCCCCTCCCTGTTCTCTCTTGCTATGTGTGTGTGCACGTGTGCACGTGCATGTGTGTGTGCATGCATGTGTGTGCATGCATGTGTGAGTGCATACATGCATTGTGTGCATGTGTGTACATGCAAGTGAGTGTGTACATGCATGTGTGAGTATGTGCATATGTGCATGTGTGTGCATATGTGTGTGGCCCTCTCTCCCTCCTGCTCCCTCTCACTCTCTGCTTTATCTTACCTTCTCTGGCATTCTCACACTCCCTGCCCCTCCGCCCATCCCTGTCTCTCTGCTGCTCTGTGCACCCTCCCAACTCCCCAACATGCTTTCTCTCCCACACTCAGCCTTTACGTCTTCACTCTGGCAACAATTGGCTTGTCCCCTGAGAAGCAACAAGAACACACACACACACACACACATACACACGGAAGCAGCAGCAGCAATATCTCCTTTTGGAGCCATTCAGGCAAAGAGGGGAGCTGCAGGGCTCAGCTTGAAGTCTTTGCTCTGCTTCCCACATTGTAGGACATGCCTCCAACAGGACCTGTGGAGGCCACAGCGTGCTCATTTGTATAAACGCCCTGGTTGATTTTGCTTTTCACCTTCTGATGACTGTCTCCTGCATGCTAATTCTCATCCTGGTGACCTCTGCTTCGGACATGGTTTTAGCATGTACTTCACCCTACTGAGACCTGACCCAGCTCTGATTAAGCTCCAAGCTGAGCCTCACCCACTGTCACAATAGCCCTGGCCTTGACCACAGATTGACTCTGACCCTGACCAAAACCTGGTTATACTCTACTCCTGTAAGCACAACCTACAATGCCATAAGGAAAGCCTTTCTTCCTATCCTGGAGCTTCTGTTTCTACTGTTGACAGGACTCCAGAGTAAAGAATCTCTTTGTCTTGGCCAGGCGCAGTGACTCACACCTGTAATCCCAGCACTTTGTGAGGCTGAGGCGGGCAAATCACAAGGGCAGGAGTTCGAGACCAACCTGACCAACATGGTGAAACACCATCTCTACTAAAAATACAAAAAATTAGCTGGGCGTGGGGGCGGGTGTCTGTAATCCCAGCAACTCAGGAGGCTGAGGTGGAAGAATCGCTTGAACCCGGGTGGCAGAGGTTGCAGTGAGCTGAGATCGTGCTACTGCATTCCAGCCTGGTGACAGAGTGAGACTCCATCTCAAAAAAAAAAAAAAATCTCCTTGTCTCATGCCAGGAAAGCTTCACCTCCAGCTCATGGAGCCGAGGGCTTGGTCACATTCTGCAGATGGCCCATCCAGTACCACTCATCATCAGGCCCACAACATGGATTTCTCCAAGGACCTAGATATGCATTGCTTGGGGCTCTGGACCACAAGATTGCTCACATTCACCTTGCACTGCCTACCACATGCCCCCATGGCCCCCCTATAGCCAATACCATGACTCCCTCTTCCTTGTGAGGGGCAGTCCCCACACAGCCCATCCCCAGACATGTTGGGGCTGGTTCCATGGCGTTCTCTTTTCCACTTCCCCTCCCCCAATGGGGGAAAAGGTAGAGGGAGAGTGGGGGCCTGTGGCACACCTGTGCTTTGCTTCTGTGATGGCTCCTTGGCCCAGGAATAATCACGCAGCTTCCCACGGTGACATCCTTCCACTCCCTCCAGGAGACAAACAGTTCTACCCTTGCCATTCTACAGATGAGGAACCTGAGGCTCAGAGACCCAAGACTTGCCTGAGATCAGAGGGCAGACAGTCAGTGACAACTATCATGGAAACCTGGTCCTCTATGCCCAGAGGACACATATCATTTTCTTCTGTTCCCCCTTCTCTCACCCTTGGGGTTGGAAACTGCCGGGAGGCTGAGTGATCACAGGGAAAGCTCAGATCAAAATGAGAAGGCTTGGCATGTGCCCCCCATTCTCTGTGAGACCTGACCCTGACTTTGAAATTTCGTCTGTAAAATGGGATGATTTAGCCGTGCACTACCTTCCTCTCCCAATTGCTATGGGAAACCAGGAGTTAGAGGCACAAGCAGATTCCGCAACACAGAACCCAGCTCCTCAGGCCCCAGCCTCCCACCTTGGGGAGTGGGGGAGGGGAGGACCAGCCAGGCTGGCCACTGAGAGAGCAAGAAACCAAGGACACAAAAGACATGGGGGTAAATGCAGAAAGGAGGACTCCTCCAGCTTCTAGCTCAGAGAGTTCCCTTAGCCCTGCTGAAGGAGACAAGTCTTGTGCTTTGCTCTTGATCCAGCTACCCAGTGCCAGACGTGCCCTGAGAGTAAATCCTAGATCCACCACCACCACCACCATACCCAGCCCATTCCTGGCCCTGATGGCATTTTTGTCTCTGCAACTGTCAGGGCCTGGCCTGCTTATGCATATTCATGGAGGGAGGGCTATTTAGATGCTGGAGGGGGTTGGGAAACCGAAAGAAAAGTATTTCCCATTCAAGTGAGGGAATGGACCTGGACACCACAGCCAACAGAGCCTTGCAAGGCCATGGGGAGCCTCATTGACAGATCCTTCCAGGTGAAGCCCAGCATCCTCATTTTACAGGTACAGAGCTGTGCCACTGGCCCACGGCCATGCAGAACCTCAGGGGAAGGGCTGGGCCAAGAATCGAGATCCTGCCAATTAAAGGCACTCCCAGTAACACTATCTCCTGGCAGTTAATTTCATGAAACCACCTCTGTTTGTACCTAGATGTTTGCTGGTACAAATAATTGGATATTGTTCCAATTATTTCCAATATCCAAATAATTGGATTATTCTTTCCATCTAAGGTTAAAGTGAAGGATGCAGCTGATATTTTCTAAATGAAGACATACATTTTGCTATAAAAACAGAACACAAAGTGAGCTAGTCTTGGCATATCCAGCCAAATCCCAAATAAACTCAACCAATACCACAGTGACTGCACTAGCCCCAACCTTGCATCCTTTCAGGGATGAAGACTTCAAAAGACCGTTTCATTTTTCTCTCTAGAACTTAGCGTTTCATAGCCAGGAACCCTGGGAAACCTGGGCTGCTCTAACATGTCAACCCATCCTCCTTGGTCCACTAAGCTTTTCTTACCCATGGCTTCTGGCCAGACTACCTGTCACCCAGCAATCTTCATCCCTCACAATAAGGAGCTCACTCAAGGTCCAGGCATGGTTCCATTTTGAGGATCCATCCTGCACTACGGACTCTGAGTTCTGCATCTCTGGCCTTCTCTGGGACAGGGACGGGGTACCCAGGGCCAACCCTGAGCCTGGCCAGGAAAGCGTGTCCAGAGGACACCCACTGCCTTCCACAATATGGGCTACTGGGTCTAGTCTGCCCCCTCTCTCCTTGCTGGGGCTGTGAACCCACAGCACTGAGCCAGTGCCTCCCTGGCTCACTCTGGCCACACCAGCCTTCCTGCTGTTGCTCAAAGATGCCGAGCTTGGGTGCAGTGGCTCACGCCTGTCATCCCAGCACTCTGGAAGGCTGAGGCGGACGGATCACCTGGGGTCAGGAGTTCAAGACCAGCCTGGCCAGCATGGTGAAACCCCATCTCTACTAAAAATACAAAAAAAATCAGCTGGGCCTGGTGGTACATGCCTGTAATCCCAGCTACTTGGGAGGTTGAGGCAGGAGAATCACTTGAACCTGGGAGGCAGAGGTTGCAGTGAGCCGAGACTGTGCCACTGCAGTCCAGCCTGGGTGACAAGAGTGAAACTCCGTCTAAAAAAAAAAAAAAAGATGCCAAGCTCATTCCACCAATCAACACTTTGCGCTGGCTGTTCCCACTGTCTAGAACACTCTTCCCCCTGGATTCGCAGGTGGCTCATTTCTCATTACTCAGCTCTCAGCTCAGGGCCACACCCCAGGGACCCTCTAGCAGCCATCCACTCTATCATGTCCTTTTATGTTATATGGTGGGGACAGTCTCCATTTTTTAAACAGCATTACTGAGGCATAATTGACATTCCATCAACTACACACCTTTAAAGCGCACAGCTGGGTAAGTTTTGACATATGTACATACCTGTAAAACCATTACCCCAATCAAGCTAGTGAACAAGGCTCCATCCCTTCTAGAAGTTCTCTCCTGCCCCTATTTATCCCTCCTCCCCCAACTCCCCATCCCCAGGCGACCGCTGATCTGCTCCTGGCACCACAGATTGGTTTTCATGTCCTAGACTTGTGTATAAATAGAATCATACAGGATGTACTCTGCTTCAGTCTGACTTCTTTCACTTGGCATGATTATTCTGAGATTTATCCATATTGTTGCATATATCCGTGGTCCGTTCCTTCTTAACTGTACCACAATTTGTTCACTCACTGATGCTCATTTGGGCGTTTTCAGTGTGGGGCTATAATCCATCAAGCTGCTGGGAACATTCATGAGCAAGTTCTCAGGTGGACAAATGCTTTCTTTTTCTTGGGGAAATGCCAACAAGCAGAAGGGTTGGGTCACATGGTAGTGAAGTATGATTTGCTTCTTAAGCAGCTGCAATCAATTTTCCAAAATGATTGTATCATCATACATTCCCGCCAGCCGAGTTTGAAAGTCCCAGTGCCTCCACATCTTGGTAAGTTATTATTATTATTATTGAGACGGCGTTTCCCTCTTGTTGCGCAGGCTGGAGTACAATGGCGCGATCTCAGCTCATCGCCACCTCTGCCTCCCAGGTTCAAATTATTCTCCTGCCTCAGCCTCCCGAGTAGCTGGGATTACAGGAATGCTCCACCATGCCCAGCTAATTTTCTATTTTCAGTAGAGACAGGGTTTCTCCATGTTGATCAGGCTGGTCTCGAACTCCTGACCTCAGGTGATCCACCCGCCTCAGCCTCCCAAAGTGCTGGGATTACAGGCATGAGCGACCATGCCTGGCCCCTGGTAAGTTATTTTAATCAGCCATTCTAATAAGTAGGTATTGGTATCTCATTGCAGTTTTGATTTACAGTAATGACGTCATTCCCTAATGATGAATGACGTGGAGCATCTTTTCACATGCTTACTTGCCATGTATATATCTGCTTTGGTGCAGCATTTATTCCTTTGTGTTATTTTGTTTATGGTGTTTTGTTGTTGTTGTTTTTCTTCCAGGCAGAGTCTCGCCCTGTCACCCAGGCTGGAGTGTAATGTCATGATCTCGGCTCACTGCAACCTCTGCCTCCTGGGTTCAAGCGATTCTCCTGCCTCAGTCTCCTGAGTAGCTGGGATTACAGGTGTGTGTCACCATGCCCAGCTAATTTTTTTGTATCTTTAGTAGAGACGGGCTTTCACCATGTTGGCCAGGCTGGTCTCACACTCCTGAACTCGTGATCCGCCTGCCTCTGCCTCCCAAAGTGCTGAGATTACAGCCACTGTGCCCAGCCTATGGTAATTCTTAATAGAATGTATTTGCTTGTGTATTGTCTTCCTATTTGTCACCTACCACCACCACTAGGCTATGAGCTCCATTGGCTGGGGCAGGACTCGCTTGCTCCTGTATCCCCCACACCCAGAAGAGCACCTGGCACTTGATGGACGGACGCACCATTAATACTGTGGACAGAGTAAATGAATGAGGCTGAATTCTAGCTCCCGCTCTGCCTCTTTGTGTGGCCCTAAACAAGGTTCCCCAGCCTCCGTTTCCCAGCTTGTAAAGTGAGTCAGAGGTGTTAGATTCAAAAACCTTGAGGAGCCTCCCAGCTCTGGCTTGTTCTGGGTTGGAGGCCACATCCCCTTCTGGCCACTCTGGGTTTTCCCTTACCCTGCATCTTCCAACCTCGGCACTGCTGGGCTGTGGCCCCCCAGATATCCTGTCTTGACAGGGGAGGGAGTGACACTTCTTTTGAATCTGGGAGCCTGGACCCCATAGCCCACCCTGCAGCATCTAATCACTCCTGAGCCCCAGACCTGCCACCTTAGCCAGAGGAGCTGGCACCCTGCCGAGGAGTTGTTATGGTTCCAGAGAGCTCAATACTCCTGCCTGACTGTTCCCTAATCCCTCCCATGCCTTCCATACAGAACCAGAGACCCCCAGAACCCAGAACTCCTCTCTGCTCCCAGACCATGAGCTCCAAGGGCCTCTCCAGGTGAACCCCATTGCCAGGCCAAAGGGTTGGGGCTGATGGCTGCAAGGGAGGGAGGACGGTCCTAATCGGTAACACATCAAAGGGAAAGGGCTGACCTGGACACTAAACTCCCGGGTTCCAGCCCCTGCACTTCCACCTTGATGTGTGATCTGGTGGTGGTGGGGGGCAGGGGGTCCCTTTGGTGCTGTGGCCTCAGTTTCCCTATTAGTGCACTGAGGAGGAAGGAGATACACTGTTCCCAGGTCCAGTCAGTGCTGGTACCTAGCTACGCAGTTTCTTCCAGTGTAGACGCCGCTTGGTTTCTCATTCCTCTGGTCATTTTTGTATCAGTTGAGGTGGGCAGGGGTGGGGGATCACGACGGCGGTTATGGGCAGAGGAGGGAGTACAGATGCAGGAGCTCTCAGGGACAGAAGGCTGCCCAGGCAGCAATGAGACTGCCATACCCAGGGCAGCACGAAGCCCAGGAGTTGGCTGCAAGTACCCAGCTGGTCTCTGCAGGGAGACACAGAGAAGGTCACCTGTGAAGACCTCCACACGTGCAGGAACTGTTGAAATAGACATCCATGGCAGCCAAGGAGTCTTTTGAGGGGCTCATGGGGGAAACCCAGGGAGCTCTGGAGGCTCTGGTGCAGGATGTCTGAGTGGGGCTGGATTTAATGGTGTTGGCCCCACCACAACTAGAGTTGGAACTGTTGAGGCCACAGGATGCCAGGCCATGCTCAAGCGGAAGACAGAGACCACACCCAGGGTCAGGGTCAGGGTCAGGGTTCAGCCTGGGCTGGAGAGCAGAGGGCAGGGAAGCAGACCCTCAAGGGATACTCAGAAGCCCATGGCCTGGTCCCAGACACAGAGCACTGGCTGGGCTGGGCTGGGCTGGACCAGAGCCCTGGGAGAGAGAGAAAGCATGGCTTCACCTCTCACTGCCTTGAGCCAAGGAAACACACAAAGGCCTTGGTCAGGGAGGAATGGAAAGGAGGTTAGCAGTTGGCAAATCAGAACTAAACAGGGTCCCAGCAGCCTGTGAGGTGGATCCTGTGGCTTAGGAATGCAGATGCTCTGGAAGAGGGCAGATGGGAGGGAGGCTGCAGAGATATACGAGGTCCTGTAGGGTGTGTGGAGAGGCAGAAGATGGGGAAAGACGGGAGAGTCTGGGATCCCGAAAAAAGGGAGAAGAAAAAAAGGAAGTGGCCGGGTGCGGTGGCTCACACCTGTAATCCCAGCACTTTGGGAGGCCAAGGCAGGCAGATCACTTGAGGTAAGGAGTTCAAGACCAGCCTGGCCAACATGGTGAAACCCTGTCTCTACTAAAAATAAAAAAAAAAATTAGCCAGGTATGGTGGTGCCTGCCTGTAATCCCAGCACTTTGGGAGGCCAAGACGGGCAGATCACTTGAGGTCAGGAGTTTGAGACCAGCCTGGCCAGCATAGTGAAACCCTGTCTCTACTAAAACTACAAAAAAAAAAATTGGTCAGACGTGGTGGCACATGCCTGTAATCCCAGCTACTTGGGAGGCTGAGGCAGGAGAATTGCTTGAACCCAGGAGGCAGAGGTTGTAGTGAGCCAAGATCGCTCCGTTGCACCGCCACCTGGGCTACAAAGCGAGACTCCATCTCAAAAAAAAAAGGAAAAAAAAAGAAAAAAAAAAAAGGAGATGATGAGAAAGAAAACACAGGGCCACCAACATGGGAGGAGTGAGAAGTGGGGCCGATTTCACGGCAGAACAAGCCGTGAGATGGGAGGGAGAGGACAGAGACAATGGAGGGGCCAGGGAGACAGCCGTCAGCATGAGAAGCACTGCAGCTGCTCTCAGGGACGGCAGGTGAGCAGGGCCCGAAGGGATAGAGCTGACCCTCGCGCCACCCACAGATGCCTCTGTCGTCAGCTGGGAACGCAGAGCCCTGATGAACTGCAGAAATGTTTTAAATGAAAGTCTTCCAAGCATCAAAATATTGAAGCTGTTGTTGTCTCACTGTGGGTTAGTTGCTATGGAGAAATTCAGCCCCAGCAGCCACTCTAATTAGACGCCCATGGGAGACAGGCCCCAAATGGGCTGGTTTAGGGCTGGCCTCAGGGAAGGGGTTCCCCGCCCAGAGCCAAGAATGGGGGACAGCTCCCCACCTCCCAGCCACATGTCCTAAAAATCACCCAAACTGAGTCTTCTCCACTGTTGGAGGCATAGAGCTGGTAGGGAAACTGAGGCCCAGAGAAAGTGAAAGCCCCGCCAAGGTCACAGAACTAGTCGATGGCATGGCTGAGACCACATCCCAAGTGTCCCGCTCTGGGTATTGACGTCTTCCCAGCACGTAGTCTGTTTCTCTTCCAAGACCCCGTTTGCCAAGCATTTCAAAGCCAGCTCCGTCTCAGGAGTAAGTCAACACCCTAAATATGGTGACTTCCCAGAGTGGGGCCACGCAGGCCAAGCAAGAGCCAGGGACTGTCCTGGGCTGTGGATCAGGACCCTGGTGCTTCTCCCCAACTCCTCTGCAGCCCAGCAGAGCATGGCTAGGGAGGGTCTTCTCTGCTCAATTCCAGACCGATTCTACCTTCCCATGCCTGTACACCTGCCTGGGTACTCGTGCCTCTGAGCCTTCAAGGCTGATCTCTGCCTGAAATGTCCACCCCTTTGGATGCCCCTTTCTTTCAATCCCAACGTCAACAATGCTCCTTCCTATGTCTCATGGGTTGGCCGGGAAGAGATGCAGAGGTCATTTCCCCACCCTCCTTGTCCCTCACCTGAACACTGGCAACAGTCTTTCTAACACTCTGGCACTCCCTGCATCTATGAGGCTCATTTATTTTTTCTTTCTTTTTTTTTTTTTTTTTTCTGAGACAGAGTATCGCTCTGTCTGCAGTGCCATCTCGGCTCACTGCAACCTCTGCCTCCCGGGTCCAAGCGATTCTCCCGCCTCAGCTTCCCCAGTAGCTGGGATTACAGGCACCCGCCACCACACCCGGCTAATGTTTTGTATTTTTAGTAGAGATGGGGTTTCACAGGACCACCTGTTAAAGGGAACACATCTGTTAAGGGAATACACATGTTGGCCAGGCTGGTCTCAAACTCCTGACCTCAGGTGATCCACCCACCTTGGCCTCCCAAAGTGCTGGGATTACAGGTGTGAGCCACCACGCCTGGCCTGACTGTTCTCTCTTACAACAGCTGGCACTTTTACTTAGCAGCGGCACTTTTACTTAGTGGCGATGGTCCCCATTCGTCATTGTATTTTCTTGGATGTCTGCCTCTCCTGCAAGGCTATAAGTATGATGAGAGCAGCAATGTGACGACTGATTGCCACAGGATCCCTGGCACCTAGCAGAGTTCCCGGCACATGTGAGGGGTTCAGCAAATATTTCAAACAGTGAACAGACGAAGGCTGAGCCCCTGCTCTTGGCACATCCACAGGATGGGTAAGTATGGAGTGTGGAGCTGCAGATACCACGTCTGAGTGGGGAGGGATGCGGACCCCCAAATGGGATCTTCTTCTTGAGGCTTCTAGGAAGGTCACCCAGCCAGTGATATGAGACTGGGGTTCACTCACCTCTGGCATCAAAGAATTCATCATCTGAGCTCTCCACAGAGTCACTGAGGACATTTCGAAGGTGCCAGGGGGCACCGCCGCCCGGGGGAGGACCACCTGTTAAAGGGAACACATCTGTTAACCAAGCCTGAGATGTTGTCCCAGTATGAGGGAGGTGACCCAAGACCCCCCTGGACTAAAGGCCAGTTAGCATCCTGCACATCTGTGCCCTCTCCCTCCGAGGCCTCAGACCTCACAGAGCCCTCCCTCTCCTGTGCTGTCATTGAAGCTCAAAAACCTCTCTGAGTAAGTGCAGCAGAGCAGGAATGCGTGTGCCCATTTTCCATGTCCTAACACTGAGGCTGGTGGTAGTTATGAGCCTTTGCCAAGGTGACTTTGCCAAGCAGCGTCTCAGTCAGCACAGGGGAAGCTCTGCTGTATTAACAAATGAGCTCAGACGTTTAAACATCAATGGTTCATTTCTCACTCACATACAGGTTGGAAGGGAGCTCTGCTCATTGCTGTCACTCATAAGTGCCACCACCTTACGATGTCACCAGCCCAAAAGGAGACATCAAGTTCTGGCCAAGCAGGGGAGAAGAGCTCAGAAAATCTCACCTAGTCTTAAATGCTTCTGCCCAGAAATCACACACTTCTGCTCGCATTTCACTGGCCCTGACTACCAGGCACACACGTCCTGTCCCTCAGAGACCTGCATTCTTGTATCAGCAATGCCCCTGCCTCAGTTTTTCCATCTGTACAATGAGAATCCTGGCAGAGACTGTCCTTTGAAACTCTTCTACTCTGACTGATATTGGAGGAGCCCACCTGGCCCACAGTAACTGACAATAAACAAGCATGGGGCGGGGGGTGGACATCCTCCCTAGCCACTGCCAGGTGAGCCTGATGGTGCAGTCCTTCGAGATACCTGCTACAGTCCCAGTTCACCACACCCCCTACCCTGCAGGATGCTGGCACTGTTCCCTGCCCTGAGTCCAGATCCCAGAGCATAAACTGTTCCTGAAGGGAGACGGTCAGCCCAGGCCATCCAGGGACACAGCCCTCCTGCCTGTCGTTCCTGCCTGGCCCACCACAAACTCCCAAACACACACCCAGTTTGTGCTTCATGGCTTGGAGCCCAGTAAGAAGCACATTCTGAGACATCAAAAGGACAGAGGGTACAGTGAACACCAACTCGGTAGTCACCTCTAGGTACAAGGCTGATTCCCTAAGCTTCTGATCCCCTGTCTCTACCAGTGTGAGCTGACGTTCCACCCTCGGGCCCTGGATTTACTGCAAGGGGGGTCTGAGAGTTCAGATGCACCATAACTGTGTGTTCCTAACACAGATATGGGACGATTTTCCAAATGTATGTGGAGGACATTCTAGCTATTGCAATAAGACAAGAAAAAAGAAATGATTGGAAAGGAAGAAATAAAATTGTCTTCATTCCCAGATGACATAATTGTCTATGCAGAAAACAAAAAGTCTACAAAATCTATATTAAAAAAACTACCAGAACTAACAACTGAGTATAGCAGGATTGCAGGATACAAGATCGACATGCAAAAGTCAATTGCATTCCTAGATACAAGAAATGAACTGAAATTTGAAAATGATAACGCCCTTTAAAATAGCGCACACAAAATACTTAGGCATAAAGCAAATGTATATAAAAATTTCTGTGATTCAAAAACTACAATCACTTAAAATTATTCCTGAATTATATCAACTGTATGTTTTCTCAATCAACAGATACTAAAGGTATAAAATCTATCATATCTACTACATTTGCATACTATGTGAATACGCTAGATTAATATACAGACATCCCTTGCTATCCCAGTCTTTTCCGTTCCTAAGAAGTAAGAATTTGGATAGTCAGCAAAGTCCTATTATCCCCATCTGTTCAGCTCCTGAGTTTTAGATAGTAAGAAGCAAGAGTTTAAGTAGCAACAAAGTCAGCTGAGGATTTATCTGGATCCATTTGGCTCCTGAGTTTGAACAGCAAGAGCCCAGTGAGAGGCTCCTCTATGCGGTGGCCTCATACATGCACGGTTTAGATCCATCCGAGAACAAAGGCAGAGGCATTCTCTCTGATGACCTGTGCAGGGGTCCCAGCAGGAGGTCTGGGGCAGAGGGAAAGGCTGCAGGGAGGCCAGTCAGCTCCATTTGAGGGAGCAAGTTCTCCCAGCTACAGGTGAGCAGAAAAGGAAGGGGCTGGTAGGCATCAAAGGGGCCTCTCATTCCACAGACACTGTGTTGGGAACTGGGAACACTGTGGGGAATGGACAGGATTGGGTGCTCGCAAAGCTTACATTCTGCAGGCGGGGAAGGAAAAGCCAGCCTCAGTCAAATAAACAACCCAGATAATTTCAGCCCAAAACCTCTCCCTTCCTACACTATGTCCTCCTTCCTCAAGTGTCTCTTATGTGATAATTACAGCCTAAAGAACAGACAGACTTGAATGTGTGGATCTGTACTTCCGTGGGGAGAAAATGGTTGGGGAAACTCAGCCTCAGACATCAAAAGAACTTTGTCACCTATTGTAGTTATAAATGCTGAACTAACATGATGTCTCCCTTTTATTATTGCGGCTCTCTTTTGTGGTTAAAATATATATTCTTTTCAAATGCATATTTTATCTTGTTTACTATTATTCTACTTGCTTTCAAAATGTATACCTGCCTTGGTGTTTTGTTTTGTTTTTGAAACAGAGTTTTGCTCTTGTCGCCCAGGCTGGAGTGCAATGGTGCGATCTTGGCTCACTGCAACCTTCACCTCCCGGGTTCAAGAGATTCTCCTGCCTCAGCCTCCCAAGTAGCTGGGATTACAGGTGCCTGCCACCATGCCCGGCTAATTTTTGTATTTTTAGTAGAGACGGGGTTTCACCATGTTGGCTAGGCTAGTCTCGAACTCCTGACCTCAGGTGATCTGCCCGCCTCAGCTTCCCAAAGTGCTGGGATTACAGGCGTGAGCCACTGCATCTGGCCCCGCCTTGGTTTTTAAATGTATACTGGATACCAGGTCTTCCCTCCCCTCCAGCAGGGGCTGCCCAACAAACTTCTGGAAAGGTGTTGGGGTGCAGGGAACCTCAGTTATATACCTGCAAAAACAGATATGTTAAGATGGAACATGGGAACTCTTCCCTGCATCTCTTCCTCCAGCATGCAGATTTTTTGGCAAACAACAAAGGTCGTATTTCCAACAAGGAGAAAAGCAATGGGCAGTGTCTCAGGAGGGGTTAGAGGGGAAGACCTTTGTGGAAAGGTGTCAGGCAAGCAGAGGCCTGAATAATAAGAAAACCCAGATATGCTAAGAGTGTGTGTGTGTGTGTGTGTGTGTGTGTGTATGCACATCTGCTTGTGCACATACATGTGTGGGATGGACCGGGCAAAATCCATGGATAAGAGCCTTCCTGGATGAAAGAACTGCAAGGGTAAATTCCCGTATGAGCTTGGTGTGTCCAAGGGGCAGAAAGAAATCCATGTGGCTGGGGCCAATGATTGAAGGGGGACAGGAATAGGGGAAATGGAGCCTGACCAGGTAGGGTAGGACCTGTCATGGACGGAAGCTTGGAACAGGTGAGTTTTAAGGCTCCTCCCACTGCCAAGCCTCTATCACCTGCAAACTTCAAGAGGAGGGGAATACAGATGCTGAAGAGTGTCAGAAAGTCTCCTGGGGGAGGGGACCACAAGTCAGATGTGCTAGAGGCCACCTAGGTTCCTGAGAGTCACAGCAGGTGGGCATGACGACCCCAGAACAGCAAGGGAAAGGCTCAGAAGCAGTGTCCTTGAGGTGGGTCCTTGCCCTACACTTCCCTGCATTTTCTGGGTCCAACACAAAGTCCCACACAGAAGAGGGCCAGGAAGTGTTTGACAAACAAGTAAATGAATAAAAATGATTTGCTTGGTGAGTGCGGCATGCCAGGCAGTCTGCTAGCTGCTTTTCAGACATTAGCTAAAGTCATCCTAACCAAGCCTAGCAAAGTAGACATACTGAATCCCCACCTTACAGCTAAGAAAACAGAGCCTCAGGGATGTTTCAGGAAGGCGTTTGCTCTGCGGAAGAGATCAGGGCGGGGGACCTCAGTCTCCTCCTCTCTCCATTGCCCGCTCTCTTGGAAATAGCAACCCTTCTACCTGTTTCTGGCCAGCTGGGCAAGGGGCCAGAGGCCTGCCCCTGGCTCCTCATGGGGGCCCTAGCCCTGGGGGGCTCAGCTGTCCCAGTTCTAGAACCATCTGCCCATCAGGTCTACAAATCAGTGTCTGGGTATCCTTGTGTCTGTGGGAAAAATCTAAATGGATGTCTACATTCCTGCGTAGAGGTGTCTAGTGTTACACGAGCATCTGTCCCTGTGTCTGCTTGGCTGTTGTGTGTGTGTCTACATTCCTTGGGGAGTGTGAGCTTACCCACTTGCCAGCCCCCTTCCTAATATTGTTCCTAAGAATCATGCATGCATGCACACTCCCATAATTCTCTCCCTCTCTCCCTCACACACAAAGTAAATCAGCTCCAGCCATGGGTGAAAATTTAGCAGAGGTTAGAACACGGGCTTTGGAACAACACAAATCTGGGTGCAGTGTTACCAGTGGCTAATCTAGGACCTGAAGCAAGTTAACTTCACTGAGCCTCACTTTTCTCATCCGGAAAATGAGCATCATAATACTTACCCCACTGTTAGGAGATTTAAATGACATCAGCCCCCAGAGCGTCTAGCCCACTGCCTGGCACTTGGAAATGGTGGCCTTGTCAGCGACAGGACCAAGGATTGAGGCAGGGTAAGCCCACCTGAGGGGCTTCCAGGCAGCTGCCAGGGGCCCTCCCCAAGGCCTCAGAGCTCTATCTGTGTCCTCCAAGGCCCAGCCCACCTCCTCCTGAAGACCCTCCTTCCATCCACCTTCACTACCACATTTATTTATTTTTATTTTTTGTTTTTTAATTGAGACAGGGTCTTGCCATGTTGCCCAGGCTGGTCTCAGACTCCTGAGCTCAAGCGATCTGCTCACCTCAGTCTCCCAAAGTGCTGGGATTACAGGCGTGAGCCACCACACCCAGACCTACATTTATTTAAAATGTTAAGTCAGGATGAAAGAGAAGGGGAATATCCCAACTCTTCTTCTAGCAATTTAGAGAGAAACAAATGACCCTTCACCCCAGCAATGCCAGCACAGCTCCGAGCTGGGCCGCTCAGTGGGAGGGGCTGCTGGAAGCCATCCCCACTCCCTCTCCTGGCCCCGATACCCACCACCTCAGGTCCAGGGTGGTCTCCTGGACCTTGTCATGGGCCTGGGTCTCCCTAGCATGGGTGCAGCCAAAGACTCTGCTCAGATCGTCAGCTCCTCCTGGCCATCTTTCCCACTCAGGGACATAGGACTAGGTGGACAGAGAGACAGACAGGCAGACAGATGGACAGGCGTCTCCTATGTGTGTTCTGCTCTATATCAGGGACCCCAAGGCAGCCCCAGCCCCAGGGGCAGAGTCCTCAGGCGAAGGGAGATGCCTCCCCCATGCTCAGGAGCCCTGTCTGAGGGGAAGACATTTCACAGTGAGGAACGCCCTGACCGTAAGATGCAGAACAAAGGTATTGGCCGATGCTTACTGGGCCAGACCTTGGGCCAGATGGTGCCAGGAAGGAAGGAGTAGGGGGCAGAGCTGAACTGGAACAGTCCCTGCCCTCAGAAATGCCAGCCCTGGGGGCACAGCCCTACACTGCTTCCTGCACAGAGCACAGGAGGAACAGAGGAGCAGACGTCCTGGCCCGTGTGAAATTCCACACCCACCATGTCTGTCCCGCGGCAAGTGGAAATGGTCCTCCCAGAAGCAGGGACTGGCTAGGGTACCCAGAGGGTTTCCGGGGGAGGGGAAGCCAAGATGAGCCTCCAAGGAAGGGGTGGGCAGGGTTGGCCAGGCTGGGGCAGGTGGGAGGAAGGGAGAGACACAGGCCAAAACAATCGAGCCCTTTCCAAGGAAAGCTGGATCTAGAACTTTCTCCTCAAGGGTAAGGAGCATCGGGGCAAAGGAGGGCACATGGGTGTCTGCTGGCAGCTGTGACTCCAGGGACATTCAGATAACACGTGCAATTTCCAGACCTCCAGGGAGGAACAGGTGCCCCTGAGCGAGGCCCTGGTGGGTGCACAGCATTGGGCTGGCACCTGCACCTACTGGCCTGTGGCCACAGCTTCTAGGCCCAGCCCTGCCTACGGCTATATCAGAAACTGCAGCCTGCCAATGCTGGATGGACTTAAGCAATCTGTGCCTCAGAAGAAGAAAGGGAGGCCAGGCATGGTGCCGCACACTTGTAATCCCAGCACTTTGGGAGGCCAAGGTAGGAGGATTGCTTGAGCCCAGGAGTTTGAGACCAGCCACGTCAACAAAGTGAGACCCCATCTGTACAAAAAAGTCAAAGTAAAAAAACAAGCCTGGCAGGGTAGCATGTGCCTATAGTCCCAGGTACTCAGGAGGCTGAGGTGGGAGGATCACTTGAGCCCAGCAGGTTGAGGCTGCATTGAGCCATGATCATGCCACTGCCCTCCAGCCTGGGGAACAGAGTGAGCCTCTGTCTCAAAAAAAATAAAAATAAAATAAAAAACAGAAAAGGAGAGGAGCCAAGAGTGAGAGCAGTGCCTGGCTGCAGGGCTGAGGCTCATTTGAATGGTGTCTCTCTCTCTCTCTCTCTCTCTCTCTCTCACACACACACACACACACACACAAATACACACATACACATACACGAGAACAGCAGGTTCTACAAGCACAAGCATCAGGGTCTAACTCCTGGCGGCTGATGCAGCTGAAAATAATCAGGCCTTGGGATGTCCCATGGGCAGTGGGAGCCCCGTAGACACATAGAGCCCAGAGCACACATGTGGCTCATGCAGCCACACACACACACACACTCACACACACACACACGCACACATGCACTTAGAATCACACTTCAGTGCTCTCAGCTCTGCCTTGGGGTCCCTGGGGTCCAAACGCAGAATGTGGAGTGCAGTGCTTCCTACAGCCTGGCCGAGGCTCCTGCGGACAGGCAGGTGACTGTCAAGCCCCGCCTCCTCCGTGCCTCCTCCTCCCTCGAGGAAACCACCATCCCGCTCCCACCTGACTGCTTCCAGCCCCAGTTCTGCCACTTACCAATTCGTGATCTTACTAAATGACAGGAAACCCTTCTGTGCCTCAGTCTCCTGCTCTGTAAAACGGGGAGGATAATCATGCTTACATAGTGTCGCAGTGAGGATTACATGAACAAACATTTCAAAACGGTTTAGCAGAGTGCCTGAGACTCCATCAGTGCTATAAAAGGGCGTGTTAAATAAAATAATAAATTGTGATTCTCCAAGAGCTTTTCTTTGGTTCTTTCATCCGTGGCAACTTCCAAGGGCAGACCCCTCTCCTTCTTCTCGGGCCCCTGGAATGGGAGCCTCGCCACTCCCCAAAGGCTGGAAATGCTTGCCCCTGCCCACGCTCGTGAGGCCAATCCCCCTCTCCTCCCTCCCATCGCAGGTCCCTGGGGCTTGCCTTGTCTGCTCCCTAAACTTGAACTACTGCAGGCCAGGACCTGCTCTCCCATCCCAGCCTCTCCTTCCAGCAGCCTGGGCTTCAGCAGCACATTGCCACCAGTAGAGCCTTCACACCACGCTCCTCTTCCTCTCCAGGCCTTTCCTCCTGCAGGTCCTGATGCCTGAAACGTCTTCTATCTCCCCATCCCACCCCCAATTCCTATTGATGCTTGAAGCATCAGCTGGAAGTCTTTCTTGGCCCCTGAGGCCAGCCCGGGTGCCTGTCTCCTTGTGGGTCCTTCATGTGCAGCACCTGTGTCCCTCAGAGTCCCTATTTACAGACTGGGTCCAGGCCTGCCTGCCCCATTGGGCTGTGGGTTCCCCCTGAGCAGACACCTGGTAGGAATCCTCTCCAGGCTCCTATCCTGTGCCAGGTCAGGGCTGGGCACACAGAAGGCTCTTGTCAGGCTCAGTGTGGCCCAGCAGAGGGGAGATCTTAGCAAGGCCCCCTCTCAGGGGAGCATCCCCGAGGGAATGTCCTCAGGCTTCCTCTCTGGATCAGGGTGAATTTGGAGACCAGACCAGTCCAGGGCCAGCCAGCCTATCCTCAGCCTTGAAGGGGGGCTGTCCAGGGAGAGATGAGAGGCCAGGAGAAGCTGCTTCCAGAAAAAGGCATTATTGAAGGAAACCAGTACTGGTTGGGGGTTGGTTGCTATAGAAACATGTCCTAACTATCTCCCAAACTGCTATATGTGCCACCGATGAGCTCATGTGCTCGTCTGTTTCAGGGGACACGCCAGGAGCCCTGGAAGGGCCTATCTGCCCGAGTACGCTGCATCTGAAGCCAACATCCTGGAGAACCCCGGAAGAAATCCAGCTTCCAGGGCAACCAGAGGGGATCATCCATCCATCGGTAATGCACTTAAAGACTGAGGCTGACTTCAGATTGCAGAACTGTCCTGAGAACAGCTCAGGTCTGAGACTAGCCGTGGCCCAAACCTCAACCTCAACCATGGCCTCAACTTTCAGTTTGGCCATAGACCGAGTTACAACCATGGCCACAGGCCAGGCCACAACTCCTGTCTCAAACCACACCACGAACCTGACCACAGACCCAGCTTGACTCAGTCACAGAGCAACAACACTGCTAGCCAAAGACTAAGCCCTGACCCTGGCCACACAATGGCACCCAGCACAATCAAGGGCTTGTATCAAATAACTTGAAGGATATGTTCACTCTAAAGTCTGTACAGGGCAGCTGTGGTGGCTCACGCCCGTAATCCCAGCACTTTGGGAGGCGGAGGCAGGTGGATCACCTGAAATCAGGAGTTGCAGACCAAGCTGGCCAACAGGGCGAAACCCCATCTCTACTAAAAAATACAAAAATTAGCCAGGCATGGTGGCACATGCCTGTAATCCCAGCTACTCGGGAGGCTGAGGCAGGGAGAACTGCTTGAACCCGGGAGGTGGATGTTGCAGTGAGCTGAGATCGTGCCATTGCACTCCAGCCTGGGTGACAGAGCAAGACTCCGTCTCAAAAAAAAAAAAGAAAAAAGTCTGTACAGCATTGCATCCGGTTGCCTGGGATTTCCACAGCCTCTGCTGCCTGTCGTCTTCACGATAGCCCAGGGAGGTCAGTAAGAAAGGACTCACGATTCTTGTTGACAGATGAGAAAACTGAAGCTCAGAGGAGAAAACTGATGTGCCTCCTGTCATGCCGCCTGTTTCTAGGGGTAAGGGGAGTCTCCAAGCAGGGCACAGTTGGCCAAACCAGTTGCTTTGGGGAAAATGTGCTTTTTGAAGACCTGCTGGTATGTCATAAATATGCCATTTAAATACCCATTAATTACCTTATTTAGGAGATAATTAGTGATTAATAGCTTTGGCTATCTATTGTACTTTCATTTGCTCTGCCAATTAGGCTCCCAACAGTTCTGAATTATTTGGAACAATTCTCCCAAGGCCCAGCTGTCCCCCCTATGTCCCGCCAGACTCTTGTTCCATAAGGAGGAGGCTCTCTCCTCCCTCTAAAACGAGTTCCCCGTAGCACCTGCCACTGTGCCACAACAGGCTCTGCCACCTGCAGGCTCCCCAGGAGGGCAGCCCGAAAGACAGGACAGCAGGAGGCATTCCTTCTGCTCATGGCAGGACCCCCTTGCAGAGAGCTGAGAATAGGGGCTCAAGGTCCAGGCACCTACCCAGGCAACGGGAGGCCAGGTTGGAATCAGACTCCTCAAAGGACGCTGGGGTCTCTTTTCTTTTCTTTTCTTTTCTTTTTTTTTTTGACAGAGTTTCACTCTTGTTGCCTAGGCTGGAGTGCAATGCCACGATCTCGGCTCACTGCAACCTCCGCCTCCCAGGTTCTCTCCTGCCTCAGCCTCCCAAGTAGCTGGGATTACAGGCATGCACCACCATGCCTGGCTAATTTTGTATTTTTAGTAGAGACGGGGTTTCTCCATGTTGGTCAGGCTGGTCTCAAACTCCCAACCTCAGGTGATCCACCTGCCTCGGCCTCCCAAAGTGCTGGGATTACAGGCGTGAGCCACCACGCCTGGCTGGGGTCTCTTTCAAAGACCACCACCTCAATGAAACGACCAGCTTTTTGGGAAGTGCATCAAAGGCTGCCATTAGCCTGGAGCAAACAGTAGGAGGGTAGCAGCTCCCCACCCCACTCCATGCCAGCAAGAGCCAATGTGACCCCCTGCAGGTGATCCGACTCATACCACCTGCCACTGCTGGACTGCAACTGAGCAAAGATGGGACCCAAGGTTGCCTCTGCCCCCAGGCCCCTCCATTTGGTGCCAAAGCACAGTGCCAGGAATTGCCAGCCAAAGCCCCAGAGGCGGAGCTCTCATCACTGCTCCAGATTATACTATATAAGAAGGAAACACAGAGGCTGCGAGGGGTAAACACACACACACACCCGAACTGGGCAGTAATGGGAAAGCTGAAAATAGCTCTTTTTACCACAAGGGATGACTCTAGAGTTGCTCGGCTGGGACTAGCCTCACGGGGGGCAGGAAGTAGGAGCAAGGGGAAGAGAAGGAACCCACAGGGGCGACATCAGGGCCAAAAGGAGTTCTGTTGAGGGTAGTAATCTGGATCAACCCAGAACAATCAGAAAAGGTCAATGGTGCATGAGTGACGGGCAGCCACAGACACTCAGACTCTCTGAAAGACAGACTCTAGAACAAGTGAAAGCCTTCCAGCTGTCAGCCCCGAGAGCTCACAGTCCCACATCCTGCACACCTAGGTCTCTCCCCAAGGAGGGCAGGAGTGCAGGACGTGACGTGCTCTGCAAATACCCAGAGCCAGGCAAACACGGTGTCAGCAGCAGACAGCTCAGAAGAGGCCTCTCAGATCCACCAGAACTCAACGCCCCTCCCAGACAGAGCCCAACGCGTTTCTATTTTTGCTTTCAACCCTTGTTTGGCATCCCTGCTACCAGCTAACAGACGGTTACTTCCCCTCCTTCCAGAAGAATGGGTCATCTGGGAAGAGGAACACCTCCTCTCTGGCCTCCCATGTCCCAGGTCTTGTAATAAACAGGCTGACCCTCCCAAAGAGAGATGAGGCTCCCAACACCCCCAGGAACCTTCCCCTGGTAGGTGGTTCACTCCAAGCTGTCCTGCTCACCAGCCCTGGAGAAGAGCTTCTCCAGGACACCTAGAGAGAGCAGCTTCACAAAACCTGAGACTCCTGCTTTCCAGAGGCAGATGCAACCCCCCGCAGCCCCTTGCCAGCCCTGGCCACACGGACTACACCCCATGGAGCCCCAAATTCACTCACACTGTGCCAACTCCAGCCACAGACTGAACCCCAACATGCCACACTCTGCACCCCATCTCTAGCCTCAAATCAAGCACTGACAGTGACCACACAGGCTTCCAGCCTGGCCCAATCTGAGCTGTGGCCCCATGAACGTGTGAGCCTCACAAATCCAGCCCTAGGAGAGCCTGGAGGAAGCAGGTTGGCTGTGTGGGGCCCCAGTGCTGGGACCCAGCTCCCACCCCAGAGTCATGGACAGAGGAGGCTTCTGCCCCCTGTCTACCCTTGCCACACACGCACCCTGTGGGGGCTGGTGGCCACACAGCTGTGCAGGCCTCCACAGGCACACGTGGGACCCTGGAGGTGGCATTTACCTCCGGAGTGACTCACTAAGCCTCCTATTCCATTTGCAAAAGGGGGTGCAATTTAGCATTTTCTTTCTCTTTAGAAAACAGGAATTTTAAAAGAGAGAGAGTGGAGAGAGATTTGAGGGAGTGGGTGGGGAGCTCAGATCTCATTTGATTTCCAAACTCATTTGTTATGCATTCTCTCCTCCCCCCTCCCACACCGAGCCCTTCCCCTGGGGACCCTGGCCACCCCCTTCCGGGCTCCTGGCTGCAGACCTGGTGATGGCCTGCCAGGAGGCACGTGCTCTCCACGTCCACGTCCTCAGCTCCCCATGGAATGACTGACCCTCAAGTCTGGGAGGATCAATGCAAGGTCAGAGTTGAGAGGGGGCAAGGCCTCTTCAGGACACAGTAAAACCCACAGCCAGGGAGGCTCTCTCCAAAAAGGAGAGAGCAGTGTTGGAGCTGGAAAGAGCCTGAAGCTCATCCTGACCCTCAAACTCTTCCCTTTCACTTTTACAGATAAGGAAACTGAGGCCCAAAGAGGGCAGTTCAAGGTCAACCAGTGCCAAAGCCAGGGCTCTCCTTCGTTAGACAAGTTAGCTCCCAGGAATATTGACTCCAACAGTAGAAGAGACATAAGCTCTAATCCCAGCTTTGCCTCTAACTTTATGTGTGATTCTAGCCCTAGATATTTAACCCTACTGGGCCTCAGTGTCTCATTCATAAAATGGGAATAACATTGGCTCTACCTCAGAGATGCTGTTGAGCCATTGGACAGAAAAGCATGCTGAGAGCTGCTATAGGATCTGAGCCAAATGGGTCCCAGCATGCGAACTCCCGATCCTAGGATCTCAGAATTCCTGGAAGGCAGCTGGGTCCTACCAGGAAGTCCCCAGTCCCTAAAGCCTCCATGGTCTCTGAAAGTTCACACTCTGTCCTTGAAAGGGGAAAGGATGCCGGATCTCAAAGAGGGACCCTTGACTGAAAGGGTCTGGTCTCTGTCTCCCAACCTGCTTAACAGGTAGAACAGGAGAACCAGGCCACCTCCAGCCATGAAGTCTCATAACATATGAAGATGTATGTGAGAAAACATCACAGCTTCTGGCCAATCTGACCCAGACATGGCCCAGGCAAGTGGCTGGGGCAGGGACACTGTCCAGCCATGTCCTCGTATTCTGTGTCCTGCCACACTGGACTTCCAAACACAGGTCAAGTCACAGAGGCCTCAAATGGGGGATAAGGGGTTCCAGGCCCAGGGTCACAGGCTTGAGGTGGAACCTCTCTGTTTGAGCTGCACCATCCTTGGCTCAAACAAGGACACCACAGCCAGAACTGAGCGGCAACAAACGTCTCAGGCTGGGACCTGCCAGGTCTGCTGCTGGGATAGGTGATTTCACAGAGGTCGGCGTATTTGCATAGGAACGTGAGGCCATCCAAGTTCCAGCACACCCCAGACTGCGGGAAAGCTTTTGAAAAGCCTGGAGTCTGGCCAGGCACGGTGGCTCACACCTGTAATCCCAGCACTTTGGGAGGCCAAGGCAGGCGGATCACGAGGTCAGGAGATTGAGACCATCCTGGCTAACACGGTGAAACCCCGTGTCTACTAAAAATACAAAAAATTAGCCGGGCATGGTGGCAGTCACCTGTAGTCCCAGCTACTCAGGAGGCTGAGGCGGGAGAATGGCGTGAACCCGGGAGGTGGAGCTTGCCGTGAGCTGAGCTGAGATCGCGCCACTGCACTCCAGCTTCGGCGACAGAGCGAGACTCCATCTCAAAAAAAAAAAAGAAAAGCCTGGAGTCTGGACACTGGTGTCTGATTTGACCATATTTGACCATAACCTTCCCATTGGGGACCAAAGAAAGTGAGTTTACCATCTCCTTGCAGGATGCAATGCCCGTCCCAAGATACACAGTAGAGTAATCGGTGCCCTAGGGCTGGGAGTTTCTCAGAGTCATGCCTCAAATCCTCTGGCACCTCCCCAAAGATTTAAGAATCCCAGCGTTGTCCAGGTATGATGGCTCATGCCTGTAATTCCAGTACTTTGGGAAGCCAAAGCAGGAAGGATTACTTGAGGCCCAGAGTTTGAGACCAGCCTGGGCAACGTAATGAGACCCCCATCGTTATGAAA